>NC_000023.11:36497834-36648191 GCF_000001405.40 Homo sapiens | reverse complement strand
TCTCTGTCTTTTATGTTACAGTTTCCCAAGTGCCAGAATTTTTGGCTGTCCACTTATATTTACAAGTGAGATAAAAATAAAATTATTGCATATACTTTGTGCATAAATGAGGCTTATAAAATATTGGCCTTTGCAAATAGGTAGGTAAGAATTCCAGCCATTTAATCAGGAGCTCCACAAATGGCAGTATGTCTAGGTCTTTGCTCCTGAGCCAATCAGGAACTATTTTATGGTTTCTCAAACTGAATGGAGATAGTGTTGGGATATTCTCACAGTTCTATTAACAGAACACACTTAATTATCCTGTTTTAACTATGGCATCCCACCCTGTCTTCAGTGGTGCCTAGTGCCCTCTTGTCTATATCCTCTCTGGCTTAACCTCTCTAGAGAATAAATTGCAAGACCTGGAGGGCAGGGGTGGAGAGGTATCTAGACACTGTTGGTTGGGTCAAGAGATTTAAGGTCACACTGCTCATTTTAAAAATTTGCAACCAATTCTCCAATGTTAAACCCACCTTGTGAGCAAAAAATTCAAGATTATTTTTTCAATCATACCACCAAAAAAAAAAAAAAAAAAACTGGAGAGAAAAGGTTTTGCCTACTATTCCCAAGGCTTTCTATGGTTTTCTTATTAGAAACATTTTGTTTTATGTTAGCTTCCTTCTTGAGGATTTGGCTTCCAGCTTTCTTTTACCCAATTAATCAGTTATTTCTATGTGTAGAGGTATATAAAAATCATATTCATTGTTGCTCATTATTTCAAATTAATAATAGTTTTTCTAAACTTTAGGAAATTTCTACATTGTATAGTTGATTTATCCCACAAAGATAAGAATCAGAATCCCATATTCCAAACCTCCCTTTCAGCAAGAAACAGACATGTGAACTTTGGCTCTATCAACAAGGGACACTATGGGCAAATTTCATTCAAAATTGAGCAGGGTGTGAAAATAGGACAAGGAGGATCTTCCATCCTGTCTGTCTGGCCCAGTTGGCAAAAGAGGCATCTATGTGTCAGTGAAAGCAGGGACTACTTGCTATCACAGAAATAGTGATAGAAAAGATGGAAAAATAATAATGATGGTAAAGTCCAGCTCCCAGTCTTTATTGATGGTAGCAATTGCTTTCATATCTGCAGCTGCACTTTCCCAATTAAGACAATTGTGCTTCTTGATGTAGTGTGCTAGCTCCTAGATGCTTTCTCTAGACCTCACAAAACCGTGAGCCACCTCATATCCCTTACTAAACCACTGTATTTGTCTGGTTTTGCATTGCTATAAATAACTACCTTAGACTGGGTAATTTATAGGAAAATAAGTTTAATTGGCTTATGGTTCTGTAGGTTCTACAGAAAGCATAACACCAGCATCTGTTTCAGGGGAGGCCTCTGGAAGCTTATGATCATGGCAGAAGGTGAAGTGGGAGACAACATGTCAAATGGCAAAAGCAGGAGAAAGAGTGCGAGGGGAGATGACACACACTTAAACAACCAGGTCTCATGAGAACTCACTCACGATCATGAGAACAGCACTAAGGGGATGGTGCTAAACCATTCGTGAGAAATCCACCCTGAATTAGTCCATTCCCATGCTGCTAATAAAGACATACCCAACACTGGGTAATTTATGAAGAAAAAGAGGTTTAATGGACTCACAGTTTCACATGGCTGGGGAGGCCTCACAGTCATGGTGGAAGGAAAAGGAGGAGCAAAGTCACGTCTTAAATGGTGACAGGCAAGGGAGCATGTGCAGGGGAACTGCCCTTTATAAAATCATCAGATCTTGTGAGATTTATTCACTATCATGAGAACAGCATGGGAAAAACTCACACCCATGATTCAATTACCTAGTCATAGGTCCCTCCCATAACACTTGGGGATTATGGGAGCTATAATTGAAGATGAGATTTGGGTGGGTACACAGCCAAACCATATCATGCCCCCATGATTCAGTCACCTCCCACCAGGTCCCACCTCCAACACTGGAGTTTACATTTTGAAATGAGATTTGGGTGGGGACAACATTCAAACTATATCAGACACCTTCATTTAAATCAGCCAGACTGAATTCATTATGCGGTGGTGGTTGTTTTTGTTATATCTTTATGTAATGTTGAAATGGCATCTTTTGTCTAGGGTAATACCTGAGGTTTATTGTCTCATGCTGAGAAAATCAAGTATGTGGACACACAAGGAGTGAGGTTAAGAACTGAGCTTTATTAGGCAAAAGAAAGAGAAGAACTCTCTCCTGCAGAGAGAGGGGTCCCAAGTGGGTTTTCTGCTTCTGTGGTGAAATGCAGAGAGTTATGTAGATGAGCCTGAGGAAGCAGCGTCAGATTTACATAGGGTGCAAAAAATTGGTTAGAGTAGGTGTGCCATTTTCATAAGGTGTTAAAAACTGGTTAGGACTAGGTGTGCCATTTGTATAGGGTGCAAATTTTTGGCCACCCCACCCTAATCTTTTATTATGCAGTTAGTTCACATGAATTAATAATGCATGCAGATAAGATTTGATGCAAACAAAGGAGCAGGTGCTTAGAGATGCCTTGAAAAGACACATAACTGGTTTCTGAGGTAGGAGATACGAAGGTACAGCATACTGCTTTATTGTTTAACATATTTACCACACTTTACCTCGCTTTTTCTTCCTATGATAACTCTATCAGTAGAATAATATATTTTTCTGTGCCTTAGATATAGGTTTAACTTTATGACTTGTAAGTAGACATGAATTGGGTCATGTCTAAGGAGAGAAGTTTATGGCCAGAATGTATCTTGCTATTTATATGTTTTTATCAGCCATGAGACTATCAGTATGTTAGGGGTTATGGTCAGTCTGGGCTCTTGAATAAAGTCATATCTGACCTACAATAGGTATGTAAAGTGAGTGAGAAATATACTTTGTTGTGGTATAACTCTGAAATTCTTCAGTTGAAAGTTATGGTAGCAAAACTTAGCCTAAGTTGACTTATAAAAATCATTTTGTAACTTTATTTTATATGCGAACAATTAGTTTTCTTGTATTAATCATTTGTAGATTGTGAAAGTGATATATCTATAGATAACTATAACTATCATACAGATAGAATAATGCTGTATTAAATCTCTATGTGTGTTAAGTTTTCTGGAAAATCATACTCAGTTGTGATTATGAAAATCCTTATTTCATATAAGGATTTCTTAAGTCCAGACAGATTTCTTAAGTCCGGTTCAATGAACACATTACAATTCTTATCTTCATAGCAAATTTCTGGATCTTCTTGAGTACAAAAAGCCCCATATTATTAGCCTAATGTATTTAAAACACAAAACACATACGGAATTATCTTACCCCAATAACACTCAAATAAGGAGAATTAGTTATCTGAGAGTTTAATCATAAAACCAATGAGTGAAAAACTATTTAAAGGTAAAGAAAACAAAGTTAAAAAAAGAGAGGTATCTCCAATTTGGTAAGACTACATACAAATAGCCAAGAAGTATATGAAAAAGTATTCAACACCACTAATCATCAGGGCAATGTAAATTAAAACCACAATGTGATATCACCACACACTTGTTAGAATGGCTATAGATTTGATCATTACATTGTAGGCTCATATCAAAATATCACACGTACCCCATAAATATGAGCAACTACAATATATCCATAAATTTAAAAATATATATTCAATAAAATAAACAAAGAATTTTGTACCAACTTCCTGGCATATTGTTATTTTAAATAGTATTTTAAAAATTGATGTGCTAATTTAAATTCTAGTGTGGCTCAGTAAATTATAAATGAGAAAAAAAGATGAAAGATAACATCTGTTGTTGAGAATGTGGAGAAAAAGGAATCCTTGTAAACAGTTGGTGGAAATGCAAATTAGTAGAGCCATATAGAAAATAATATAAAAGTTCCTCAAAATTTAAAAACAGAACTAGCATGTGATCCACCATTTTCACTATGGGTATATGTACAAGGAAAATAAAATTAGTATGCTAAAGAAATAGCTGCACTGTCTTATTTATTGCAGCATTATTCACACTAGCCAACATATGGAATCAACATAAGTGTTCATCAACAAATGAATGGATGATGAAAATATGGTATAGGCATAGAATGAAATATTATTCAGCCTCAAAAAAGAAACAAATCTTGTTATTGGCAATGACATGGAGGAACCTGGATGATATTACATTAAGTGAAATAAACTAGGCACAGAAAGAAAAATACCAAATGATTTCACTTATTTGTGAAATCTAAAAAAGTCAAACTCAAAGAAGCAGAGAATGGAATAGTGGTTACCAGGAGTCAAAGAGGGTGGGGGTAAAATGGTAAAATGTTTGCCAAAGACTACAAAATTTCAGGTAGATAGTAGGATTAAGTTCAATAGATCTATTGTACAATATGATGACTATAGTAAATAACAATGTATTGTATACTTGAAAATTGCTGAGAGTAGATTTTATGTGTTCTAACCACACACACACACACACAAAAATCCTAAGTATGAGAGGCCCATATGACATCACTGGCATTTTTTTTCCAAACATTTAAAATGAAATAAGTACCAATCTTTCACACAAACTTTTCCCAAAAAAATGGAAGAGGAGGAAACACTTTCAAATTTATTTTATTAGGGTAATATTACTCTGATACGAAAACTCAACTACAACATTCCAAGAAAAGGAAACTATCGACCAAGTATTACTTGTAAATATAGATGCAAAAATCCTCAACAAAATACTAGGAAACTGAATCTAGTCACATAAAAAGGATTATTCTCTATGATCAAGTGTGAATTAACTGTGAATGCAAGGTTGATTTAACATTCAAGACTCTATTAGTATGTTGTACCATATTAATAGAATAAATTCAATAACCACGTGATTATCTCAACAGACATAGAAGCACATTTAACATAATCCAGTATACTTCATGATTAAAAAACCTAAAATTCAACACACTAGGAATAGAGAGAAATTCCTAAAGCTGACAGCCTCAATAACAACAAAAATCCACAGCTAATTTGATGCTCAATGGTTAAAGATTAAATATTTCCTCCCTAAGTTCAGAAACAATAAATGAATATCTGTTCTTACCACTTCTAGTTAACATTGTCCTGAGAGCTCCATGAGCAAATAGGGGAAAAAATGAAATAATAGACAACCAGATTGGAAATAAATAAGTGCAACTATCTCTACTTGCAGTTAAAATGATTTTAAATATATATATATATATATATATATGAACTAATAAATGAATTCAGCGTGGTCATAGAATATAACATGAAAATACTGAAAGCAACCTATAAATTATTAATAAACAAAAACTGAAAGTAAGAAAATAATTTCTCTTACAATAGCATAAAAATAATAAAATACTGAAAGACGCTGAGCAAGACAGTCAAATAGAAGCCTCCAGCAATTGCCCCACCACCACCCCCGGAACAACAAGTTCAACTATCCACACAAGAAAACACTTTCATAAGAAACAAACTCAGGTGAGCAATCACAGTGCAAAAGGCACCGAAGAGGGTAGAAAAGACAGTCTTAAACTGCATACACCACCCCTCCCCATCCCCTGCAGAGGCCACATAAAATGGAGAAAAAGAATCTGTGTGCTTTGGGAGGAAAAGCAAAGCAACTGTGGGACGTTGCATTTAAATTCAGTGCTGCCCTGTCACAGTGGA
Source organism: Homo sapiens (assembly GCF_000001405.40). Classification (NCBI taxonomy): domain Eukaryota; kingdom Metazoa; phylum Chordata; class Mammalia; order Primates; family Hominidae; genus Homo; species Homo sapiens. The sequence goes on along the minus strand of NC_000023.11, from coordinate 36,642,515 downwards.
AAGCAACACAGGTAAGAATTCAGCTGGCCCCCAAACGGGTTGTATTTAGACCAACTAACCCTAGCCAGAGGAGAATCGTCCATCCCAGCAGTCGGAATCTGAGCTCCAGGTAGCCCCAGGAATGCAAACTAAAGAACTTTAGGGTCCTAAATAAGCTTGAAAGGTAGTATAGGTCACAATGACTGCAATTCCTGGGCAAGTCCTGGTGTTGTGCTGGGCCTGAAGCCAGTGGACTTGGGATGCATGCAATCCTGTGGGACACTAGTGGAGGTGGCCAAGGGAGCATCTGCATCACCCCTCCCCCAGCTCCAGACAGCACAGCTCACAGCCCCAGAAGAGTGGGAAGAGTAATTAGGACTTTGTCTTGCAATTTGGATACCAGCTGAGCCACAGTAAAGTAAAACAACAACGAGAGTCCTGAAGTCCCCATTCCAGGCCCTAGCTCCCAGATGACATTTCTAGATCAACCCAGGGCTAGAAGAAAACTCACTGTTATGATCATTATGCCCCCAAGTAGATCATTAGGTTAAGTGAAATAAGCCAGGCACAGAAATATTGCTTCAACTATTGCATGTTCTCACTTATTTCTGGGATCTAAAAATCAAAACATTTGAACTCCAGGACGTAGAGTAGAAGGATGGTTACCAGTGGCTGGGAAGGGTTTTGGAGGGATTGGGGGAACATGGGTATGGTTAATGGGCACAAAAGATAGTTAGAAAAAATGAGTAGATCTACTATTTGATAGCACAACAATGAGACTATAGTGAATAATAACTCTATTTTACATTTTAAAATAACATAAAGCATGTAATTGGATTGTTTGTAACTCAAAGGATAAATTCTTGAGGAGATGGACCCCCTTCTCCATGATGTGCTTATTTCACATCAAATGCCTGTATCAAAACAACTAATGTACCCCATAAACATATACACCTACTATTTGCCCACGTAAATTAAAAAATAAAAATAAAAAGGGTATACAAATGGCCAATATATACACAAAATAACACTAAAATATGAGTTATTAAGCAAATTCAAATCAAAATCGCAATGAAATATTACTTTATACCCACTTATGATGGCTACAACAAAAAAGATAGACAATAACAGGTTCAACAAGAATGTGGAGTAACTAGAATTGTCATGTACGCTATTGTGATGTACCTAAAAGAAATGTAAAAATACCTCCATACAAAAAGTTGCACATGAATTTTCACAGCAGGGTTATTGATAGTAGCCAAAAGTAGAAATAATCCATATGTTCATTAACTAATGAATGAATAAACAAACTGTGGTATATCTATACAATAAAATTTTCTTTGAATAAAATGGAATGAATTCTATATATATATTGTACAACATTTATGAACCTTGAAAAATTACACTGAGTGAAAAAAGGAAGTCAAAGAAAGACCACATATTGTATGGCTATATTTATATTAAATGTCCAGAAAAGGAAAATAAATAGAAGCAGAATGTAGATTAGTGTTTGTCAGGCTCTGGAGGGAGGGTAGAAGGGGTATAGTACTCCTTTTGGGGGTGACGAAAATGTTCTAAAATTAAATAGTGATGATGGATGCATAATTCTGTGAATATACTAAAAGCCACTAAATTGTATACTTTCAAAGGGTGAAGTTTATGGCGTGTAAACTATATTTCAGTAAGGCTATTATTAAACCAAAGAGAGAAAGAATAAACAGGGCAAAAATTTATTTCTCCATTGTTCATCCTGCTAGGCTCCAGGTTGGTATTGGCTGTGTTTTCTTTCTAAAGCCAAAGTTCATAACAGAGGATTCCTGGTCTTTAGCTACAGGTCTGTTCATGTTCTGACAATCACTCAACCCCTTGTCTTTTAAGACCCACCAGTAGCAGTGGTTTTCAGTTGTAACTATCCCAGGGATTCTCTATCATCTCTTGTTGCAATCTCTTAAACCAGCTTACACACTTATAAACTGTTTCTTCATAAAATTATTTTTAGTCACCTCATTTGAGTGTGGCACCTGTTTCCTGCTGGGCCCCAGATCGATACACCAGGTTAATACAAGTTGAATCCTAACCGGTGGATACACACTCAGTTTGCTGATGTAATCACTTTTGCACTTACAGGACTAATGACAGATTCTCGACAACAATAATCTATTAACATTTTAAATGGACTGATATATTCTGTAAATTTGCTGGGTGATATTCTGTATACTCCATCGGCCATGACTGTCCACTTACTTGCCCATTTGCCATTAGATTTAGGCTTCAGAATATGAGGAGACATCTAGTGGATCATCTTGGAACCAAATGTATTCTTCCTTTGTACAACCTTAGCCTTACTTGCTCATGATGATCAGGGTCCATTTCCCCTGCCAGGATACTGCCTGTTCCTTTCCTGCTCCTTTCTTGGTACAAAAGGCCTGAAACACCTGGGAAGCAGCCACAGCTTTGAAGTTTAATGGAACTCTTTTTGCTGTGTTCCCTGATAGAAACATTCTCCTCTGATATCTAGGATATCCAGTCCTATAGAACTTAAAATTATTGGGAGAGGAAGTGCAGATATTCCAAATGGGTCCTTGGAAATGATGGTAAAACATTATTTTTACTCCCCCCACCTTGGTTTCCATACCCATGCATTCTACGTATTGTCTCACAGTACCATACAATGCTAATAAATTTGGGTTGTATACAGTGGCAAAGGCACTCCACCATCACAGGCTATTGTATTCAAATTAGTACTTGAGCTGCACCTTTAAAATCTTTTCTATTTCTGTATCAAACCAACAACTTTTTGGTGATGCAGTAGAAGGTAATATTTGGAGGAAGTCATGGCCATTTGCTGACTGCCTCGTCTCCTTTAATATAAGGTTGATCTCTTGGTACAATGTGAGGCTTTGTAAGATCATGTATCTGTGTGTATTCCCTTGAATAGTGGTCCTGGCTGGTGCCATTTAGGTAGGAAGAAAAATCTCATACCTGAAATATATGTTGAATTTAGTCACAATGAATTACTGCCCTTTGCAAGCTGGAAGGGGTCCAATGTAATCACCTTGCCACCATGCAGTTGGTTGGTTTTCTTGAAGTATGATGATGTACTGGGTCTCAGTTTTGGCCTTTGTTGCTGGCAGGTTGGATGTTCGGCAGACACAGTGGCAAAGCCAGCCTGATATGTTGGAGTGCATGCTGTTGGTTCCAGGGATATTCTCTATTCTACTCTGGTTACTCTGTGTCTTCACTTTGCCAGCTACAGACACTGGATGTTATAGAATGGCAGTTGATAACTAGCAAAATCATTTAGAAAAACTGGTTGTTAAGTGTATCTTACATGATGCATAGTCTCAAGTAAGCATTAATTTATGATACTAAAACCTTTACCTTTTATGCTCACTTCCATAGCTCCATCCACATGTCTCTTGCCCAGTCTTCGTCACTAATCTTCCAATTAGTGAATGGACAGGACACTGATCAACCTGTCAAGCCATCTGCCACTGCCCATGAGATGCTATATTCTTATCTCAGGTTGTTTCTTTCCTAATAATAAAAGAAGACCCGTTGAACCTTTTGAAGGACTGCCTATTTGGAGGATTTCTCATAATCATTGATGTTCAAGACCACCATGAAGCAGGACTGTAGGGCTGCAGTAGTTTTTTGTTGCAATTTATCATAAGAAATATATAGTTCATTTTTGTCCAGTTTCCTGGCACAGAAGCTTCTAAACCCCTTGGAATCTCTAAAGTGTAAGTGTCTTTTTGTGTGCCTATGAGACGACTGGTGGCTAGGCTCCTGGATAACCTCAATATAGGAGCTGGTTGCCAGGGGAATCAACCATGTTACAAGAGGGCTGGAATTTTCAGCCCCACCACCCAACCTTTAAGCAGGATAGAGGGGCTGGAGGTTGAGCTGATCACCAATGGCCAGTGATTTTACTAGTCATGCCTAAATAATTAAGCCTCCATAAAACCCCTCAAGGAAGAGGTTTAGAGAGCTTTCTGGTTGCTGAACGTGTAGAAATGCTAGGAGGGTACGTTACCTGGAGAGGTCATGGAACCTCCATGTCCCTTCCCACATAAATTGCTCTATGCATCTCTTTCAGCTGGCTGTTTCTGAGTTGCATCCTTTTATAATAGGCCTGTAATCTGGTAAGTAAACTGTTTTTCTGAATTATGTATGCTATTGTAGCAAATGATTGAACCCAAGGAGGGAGTCATGGGAATCTCTGATTAACAGCTGGTCAGTCAGAAGCACAAGTAACAACCCGAACTTGTGATTGGCACTTGAAATGGAGGCAGTATTGTGGGAGTGAGCCCTTAACCTGTGAGATCTGATGCTATCATCACATAGATAGTGTCAGAATTAAATTAAACCAGAAGATTCCAGTTGGTGTCTGGAGAGTTGGTGAACTGGTTTATGTGAGAAAAAGCCCCACACATTTGGTCACAAACATTTTCTTTGTTGAATATAGAAAATAAATTCCCCTATACACTCATCTATAAACTACTCTCCCTGACCCTTCTTCTGATAGCTAGTCCCAAGGGGCCTCTCGTATGCTGCCATCAGTATGAAATGAGGAAGAGATGCTCATAAAAACAGTAGAAGATAGACCACCTTGTTGGGAAGTTTACTTGTGTATTCATCTCTGCTCATGCCCAATCCTTCATACACCACTTCCATTTATTATAGAATGCTCCTAGACCTGCTTTGTCTTATGACTTGGTGGGTCTGACAGAAGCAGTATAATTTAACCAATTATGGATACATGGTCACTTGATATCCCTTTGCACCAACACATGTCTCAGCACTTAGAAAATGGAGTATCCAGTGGATTTTCTATTGGAATATAGCCTCCTGGTGGATCTCCCAGCCTTATGTAGTGTATCATTCTACAATCATGGGTAGTCTCCCAGATTCTTCTGGAAAATGTTTTCTAGGTCCTAAGACTTTTTTATATCATAGTTTCTTTCCTCTATTAGCACATCCAGCACTCTTCCTCCTGTATTATGTTGTGACTGAGACTTAGTTGTTTTCTGGAGATTAAAAAGGAGTTGGAATATATCCTGAAAAAGGCTTATGTTGAAAGCAAGGCAGAAAGTGGGGGCACAAGGTGGCAATGAGAATTTGCTGAGATAATTCACTTCTGCAAGCCCAAGAAGTTTAGGGAAATCTGAGGACTCAAGAATGTCAAGTAAATTAACCTAGATTGTTCCCATCTCAAGTCTCAGGCTCTTACTCCTTCCCAATCTGGATACTAGTATAGCAGATTTGCTGGCTGAGAATTTAGCCTTTTCTTGCGTTCTGCTACTCTTAATTATGTTCTTATCTGATTCTCAGGGTTTTCTGTAAGAATGAGACTATATTCATATGTTGGTAAAGAAGTGCTCAGTTGCTACCTTAAACTGGTGATCCTTACTCAGCTTGTTTTTGATTTTCACCAGTGCATTGGTTAACAACCATCTAGTTTCATAGTGCTTATATAATTATTACTTCTGCAGAAATTCTCAAAATCTGATATATTACATCTTCTAGTATAGAAGTCCCCAATCATTTTGGCACCAGGGACAAATTTCACGGAAGACAATTTTTCCACAGACTGACTGGATGACAGAAGGGGTAGGGGGAATGGTGGGGATGGTTTCAGGATGAAAGTGTTCCATTTCAGATCATCAGGCATTACATCAGGAATTAGTTAGATTATCATAAGAAGAGAACAACCTAAATCCTCTGCATGCACAGTTCACAACAGGGTTCGCGTTCCTACAAGAATCTAATGCTGCCACTAATCTGACAGGAGGCTGAGATAAGGCAGTAATGCTCTCTTGCCCATCGCTCACCTCCTGCTGTGCAAACTTGTGCCTAACTGGCCACAGACCAGTACTGGTCCAAATCCTGGGGTTTGGGGATCCCTGTTCTAGTACATTCCCTTCCACCATTTTATCTCATTTTACTGTTGATAAGATTGAACAGTCACACTGCTACATTGTGTCAGAAGCTATCAGTATTCCAAGTACCACTAGTGAAGTGGTCTTCATTGCCAGCTGACCAGCAGGTGATCCACTGCCAAGTCCTATTTTCAAATCTTCTTCAGATCACTCATGGCACAAACTATCTAGACTTGATTCTCTGGGAAACAGACTTTGAGGTGGATTTTTGCATGCCAAGAATGTTCTCAAGCATAATATCTGTAAGGAGTGAAGGAAGCAGGATAAAAAGCAGAGAAAAAAAAGGCTGAAGTATGATACTCTTGCAACAGAGGCCTTGACTGATCCCATACAGAGTGCTCAAGCTGCCATTGCCTTCAAGGATATCTTAAATTGAGGGAATGAGACTCACCTTCATATCCCTGCATTGACCATCCACTGGATGTGGGTTGCCACTGGGGAGGGGGAATGACGGGATGTGGGTTGCCATTGGGTGAGAGGTTTTCCTATGGCTGAAGGAAATTTTGGAGAAAGGACTCAGATGAGTGTTTGTAGCTACAGTCACACCTGACAGCCATGGGTGTGAGTACCTCAATCCTGAAGGATAGGCATAGATGGCATACTACTGCATTCACTGCAGGTTCTGTGAAGGATCAGCATCTATGAACCTCTTAGGAACATTTAAGAAATGGGTTCTCCACTTCCGGCTTATGTCCGTACTCAAAGCTGTTATGACAGTTAGCAAATACACCATAATCTAGTGGGATTTATCCCTTCAATGCAAGGATTGTTCAATATATGCAGATCAATAAACTTGATGCAGCACATCAACAGAATGAAAGACAAAAACCGTATGATCATTTCAATATATGGAGAAAAAGCAACTGATAAAATTTGACAACCTTCACGATAAATTAGGTATAGAAGAAAAGTATCTCAACAAAGTGAAAAGCTTTCCATATGTGACAAGCCCATAGCTAACATCATATTGAATAGGGAAAAGCTGAAAGCTTCTCCTCTAAGAACTGGAACAAGACACAGATGCCCACTTTCACCACTTCTAATCAACATACTACTGGAAGTCCTAGACAGACCAATCAGGCAATGGAAATAAATAAAAAGCCTCTAAATTGTAAAAGTAAAAGTCAAATTGTCCCTCTTTGCTAATATGGTCTTATATCCAGGAAAACCTAAAGACTCTACCAAAAAACTATTTGCTTTATAAATGAACTCAGTAAAGTTTCTGGCTACAAAATCAATATACAGAAATTAGTAGAACTTTCATACATGAATAATGATCCAGCCAAGAAAGAAATCAAGAAGGCAACTGCATTTACAATAACCACAAAAATATAAAATACCTAGGAATATATTTCAACAAGAAGGTGAAAGATCTCTGCAGGAGAAATAAAAAAATACTGATGATAGAAATTGAGGATCACACAAACAAATGGAAAAACATCTCATACTCATGGATCAAAATAATTAATATTAAAATTGTGATATTGCCCAAAGCAATCTAAAGATTCAATGCAATCCCATCCAAATACCAATACCACATTTTTTACAGAGTTAGAAAAAAAATCCTAAAATTTTTACAGAAAAAAAAGAGCAAAATATTCAAAGGAATCCTGACCAAAAGAACAAATCTGGAGGCATCATGTTACCTGATTTCAAAATGTATTACAAGGCTGTAGGAAACAAAAGAACATGGTATTGGTATAAAAATAGACACATAGACCAATGGACCAAACTAATGGAAGAGAATAGAGAATCCAGACATAAAGCACGTATTTATAGCCAATTGATCTTTCACAAAGCTGATAAGAACTTACATTTGGAAAAGGGAATTCTATTTAAGAAATGGTACTCGTAAAATTGGATCACCACATGCAGAATAAAACGTGACCCTTATTTCTCATCATATATAAAAATCAAGTAAAAATAGATCAAAGACATAAAGGTAAGGCCCAAAACTTTTAAAATACTGGAAGAAAACCTAGAGAAAACTCTCCTGGATGTTGTCTAGGCAAATAATGTATGACAAGATCTCAAAAGCACATGCAACAAAAACCGAAATAGATAAATGTGTTTAATTAAACTAAAAAGCTTCTGAATGCTAAAAGAAATAATCAGCAGATTAGAGACAACCTATTGAATGGGAGAAAATGTTTGCAAATGATTCATCTGACAGGGGACTATTTTCCAGAATATACAAAGAACTCAAACAATTCAATAGGAAATACCAAGTAATTCCATTAAAATGTGGTCAAAGAACATGAATAGACATTTCTCAAAAGAAGATATACAAATGGTCAACAGATATATTAAAAAATTCTCAAAATCAGTAATCATCAGAGAAATGCAAATCAAAACCACAGTGAGATATCATCTTACCCCAGTCAGAATGGGTATTACCAAAAAGAAAAAATATAGACGTTGGCGAGAATGCAGAGAAAAGGGAACTCTTATATATTGTTGGTGGGAATGTAAACTAGTACAGCCACTATGGAAAACAGCTGGAGATTTCTCCAAAAACTAAAAATAGAATTATCATTTGGTCCAGCAATTTCACTACTGGGTATCTAACCAAAGGGAAAGAAATCAATATATGAAAGGGAAATCTGAACTCATATGTTTATTGAAGCACTATTTACAGTAGCAAAAAGATGAAATCAACCGAAGTGTTCAGCAACTGATGAATGGATAAAGGAAATGTGGTATATATACACAATGGAATACAATTCAGCCATAAAAAAGAATAAAATTGGAGGGGGCAGGAGAAGGATAAGTGAATAGAAGTCTCCATCAATTATTCTCCCTGCAGGAAAACCAAATTTGACAACTATCTATACAAAAACCACCTTCATAAATCAGGTGAGCAATCATAGTACCTGGTTTTAACAACTTCATATCACTAAAAGAGACACTGAAGAGGGTAGAAGAGACAGTTTGAATTGCTAACATCACTGCTCCCCAGTCCTCTGGTAGTGGCCCATGTGGCACAGAGAAAGAATCTATGAATTGGGGGAGGGAGAGCACAGTGATTATGGGGACACACGGCAGAACTCAGCAGCACCCATGGAGGGAGCATATAGACTAGCCCCAGCCAGAGGAGAATTACCTATCCCAGCAGTTGGAACTTGAGTTTCAGCAGCCTTGTCATTGCAGGCTAATGTACTCTAGGGCTCTAAATAAACTAGAAAGGCTGTCTAGGCCACAAGGCCTGCAACTTCTAGGCAAGTCCTAGTACTGTACTGGGCTCAGAGCCAGTGGATTTAGGGATCACATAACCCAGTGAGATATCAGCCTAGGCAGATTGAATGCTTGCTCCACCCCTCCCACAACCCCAGACAACACAGCCTACAATAACAAAAGAAATCCCAACTTTACACTCGAGAAGAGGAGAGGAAAGAGTAAAGATGACTTTGTTTTGCAACTTAAATACCAGCTCAGCCACAGTAGGATAGGGCACTGGGCAGAGTCATGAGGCCTCATTCCATGCCCTAGCTCCCAGATGACATTTCTAGATCCACCCTAGAATGTAATGCACTGCCTTGAAGGGAAGGACCCAGTCTTGACAGGGTTCAGCACCTGCTGACTTAAGAGAACTTGAGCCCTGAATAATCAGCAACTATAAGGAGGTAATCTATGCCTTGAGCCTTGGGTGAGACTCTGAGTCGTGCTTCATTTAGGTGTGACCCAGCATATTCACAGCTGTGGTGGCCTCAAGGAAAGACCTTTTTCTGCTTGAGAAAAGAAGAGGGAAGAATATAGGGGACTTTGTCTTGCAACTTAGGTACGAGCTTGGACAAAGTGAGGAAGAGCACCAAGTGGTCTCTAGGAGTCCCCAATTCCAGGCTTTGGATCTTGGATGGAATTTCTGGACATACCCTGGCAAAGAGGGGAGTCAATTGTCCTGAAAGGTGAGTCCCAGGCCTGGTAGAATCACCACTAGCATATTGGAAGCCATTTGGCTTTAAATGAACATCACGGGTATGCTGTCAGTACTCCCCCATAGGCCTGTGGTGATGGTGGACACAAGGAGACACTCCTTTGCCTGAGGAAAGGGGAGGGAAGAATGGGAAGAACCATGTCTTCTGGTTTCAGTTCCAGATTAACCACCATGGAAAAGAGCACCAGATGGATTTGGGGGATTTTCTACTCTGATCTCTGGCTCCCAGATGGCATCTCTGTACCCACCCAGGGCCCCAGGGAACTTTCCACCCTGAAGGGAAGGACATAAGACTGGCTTCATGATCTGCTGATTATAGAGTGCTACAGCCTTGAGTGAACATAGGTAGTAACCAGGTAATGGTTATAGCAGCTTTTGACAAGACCCAGTGCTCTGCCGGCTTCAGGTCTGATCGAGCACAATCCCAGTAGTGGTAGACACAGTCGTGCTTGTGTCACTCCTTCGCCAGCACTAGGTAGCTCAGCACAGAGAAAGACTCCATTTGTTTGGAATAAATTAAGGGAACAGAACAGGAGTCTCTAACGGGTAATCCAGAGAATTCTCCCAAATCTTATCCAAGACCACCAAGGTGGTACAACTACAAGTCTGCAAGGACTACAGCGTTATTGGGCTTGGGGTAATGCAGATAAGACTACAATGAAAAAACATTGGATTATAACACCAAAGTCCCATTGAATACCTGGAAAACCTTCCCAGCAAGGATGCATACAAACAAGCTCAGATTGTGAAGACTACAATAAACATCTAACAATTCAATGCCTGGAAACTGATGAACATCCACAAATATCAAAACCATCCAGGAAAACAGGACACCAACAAACGAATTAAATAAGACACCAGGGTCCAATCCCAGAGAAACAGATATATGTGATCTTTCCGACAGAGAGTTCAATATATCTGTGTTGAGAAACTCAAAGAAATTCAAGATAACACAGAGAAGAAATTTAGAATTCTATCAGATAAATTTAACAAAGAAATTAAAATAACTAAAAATAGTCAAGCAGAAATTCTGGAGCTGAAAAATGCCACTGACATACTGAAAAATGCATTGGTCTTTTAATAGCAGAATTAATCATGCAGAAGAAATAATTAGTGAGCTTAAAGACAGGCTATTTAAAAATATAGTCTACATATTTAAAAATATATAGAGGAGACAAAATAAAAAAGAGTATAAAACAAAGAAGCATGATTAAAAGATCAAGAAAATAGCTTCAAAAGGGCAAATATAAGAGTTATTGGCCTTAAACAGGAGGTAGAAAGAGATAGGAGTAGAAAGTTTACTCATTGGGATAATAACACAGAACTTTCCAAATCTAGAGAAAGATGTCAATATCCAAGTACAACAAAGATATAAAAAACCAAGAAGATATAACCAAAAGAAGACTATCTCAAGGCATTTAACAATCAAACCCTAAAGGGTAAGGACAAGGAAAGATTCTAAAAGCAGCAATAGTAAAGAAACAAGTGACATACAAAGAAACTCCAATATGTCTGCAAGAAAACTATTCAGTAGAAACTGTATAGTATAGTCCAGGAGAAAGTAGCATGTCGTATTTAAAGTGCGGAAGCAGAACAACTTTTACTCTAGAAAAGTATATCTGGTAAAAATATCCTTCAAATATAAAAGAGAAATAAATACTTCCCAGACAAACAAAAGCTGAGAGAGTTCATCAACATTGGATCTGTCTTACAAGAAATGCTAAAAGGAGTTTTTCAATATGAACAAAAAATTGCCAATAAGCAATAAGAAATCATCTGAAGGTCCATAACTCACTGGTAATAGTAAGCACGCAGGAAAAAAAAGAATATTATCACACCAAAATTGTGATGTGTAAATGGCTCATATCTTAAGAAGAAAGACAAAAAAATGAAATGATCAAAAATAACTAAAACAATTTGTCATGACAGAGACAGTACAATGAGATACAAATAGAAAAAAACAAAAACTTAAAAAGCAGGGAGACAAAGTTATAGAGTTTTTATTTATTTTCTTTTTGCTTGTATATGCAATCAGTGTTAAGTTGCCATCAGTTTTAAATAATAGGTTATAAGATGCTATTTGCAAGTCTATGGTAACCTCAAACTAATAAACATACAGTGAATACACAAAAAATTAAGAGAAGCTAAATCATATCATCAGAGAAAATCATCTTTACTAAAAGGAAGACAGGAAGGAAAGAAAGAAGGAAGAGAAGACCAGGAAACATCCATAAAACAAATAATAAACTGGCAGAAGTAAGTCCTTACTTATCAATAATAACATTAAATGTCAATGAAATGAACTTTCCAATCAAAAGACATAGAGTGGCTAAATGGATACAAAAAAACAAGACCGAGTGATCTGTTGCCTACAAGGAACACATTTCATCTATAAAGACACACATAGACTGAAAATGATGGGATGAAACATTTGCAACAACATGGATGGAAGTGGAGATTATTTTGTTAAGTGAAATAAGCTAGGCACGGAAGACAAACATTACATGTTCTCACTTATTTTGGGGATCAAAAATCAAAACAATTGCACTCACGTACATAGAGAGTGGAAGGATCGTTACTAGAGGCTGGGAAGGGCAGTGGGGAGCTGGGGGGAGGTGGGGGACGGTTAATGGGTACAAAAACAGAAATAATGAATAAAAACTACTGTTTGATAGCACAACAGGGTGACTACAGCCAATAATAATTTAATTGTAAATTTTAAAATAAAGAGTGTAATTGAATTATGTGTTGGTTTGTTCTCACACTGTTAAGAAGAATTACCTGACAATGGGTAATTTATAAAGAAAAGAGGCTTAGTTTCCTCACAGTTCCACAGGCTGTACAGAAGGCATGGCTGGGGAGGCCTCAGGAAACTTACAATCGTGGCAGAAGGGCAAAGGAGAAGCAAGCACGTCTTACCATGGTGGAGCAGGAAAGAAAGACCAAAGGTTGAAGTGCTACATACTTTTAAACAACCAGATCTTGTGAGAACTGACTCAATATCACGAGAACAGCAAAGGGGAAATCTGCTGCCATGATCCAATTACCTCCCACCAGGTCCCTCCCCCAACATTGGGAATTACAATTTGACATGAGATTTGAGTGGGAACACAGAAGCAAACTATACCAGATTGTTTGTAACTCAAAGGATAGATTCTCAAGGGGAGGTAGCCATCCCTTTCTCCATGATACCCCTTTTTCCATGGCATGCTTATTTCACATTGCATGCCTCTATCAAAACATCTCATGTACTCCATAAATATACACACCTTCTATGTACCCACCTATATATATATATATATATTCCACGCTAATGGAAACAAAAAAGAGCAAGTTTCACTAAACTTATATCAGACAAAATAGATTTCAAGACAAAAACTATAAGAAGAGACAAATAAGGTCACTATATAAGATAAAGGGGCAATTTAGTCAGAAGTTGTAACTATTGTAAAAATATAAATGCACCTGACACTGGAACACCCAGATATATAAAGCAAATATTAGAGCTAAAGAAATAGATAGATCCTAATACAATAATAGCCAGAAACTTCAACACTCAACTTTCAGCATTGAACATATCATCCAGAGGGAAAATCAACAAAGAAACATTGGGCTTAATCTGCACTATAGATTATCATATGGACATAATTGATATTTATGGAACATTTCTTTGACTGGCTGCAGAATACAAATTCTTACCTTCAGCACATGGATCATTCTAAAGGATAGACTATATTTAAAGCCACAAAGCAAGTTTTAAAACATTAAAAAAATTTAAAACACCAAGTATCTTTTCTGACCACAATAGAATGAAGCTAGAAATAAAAAACAAGAGGAATTTTGGAAACTGTATAAACACATGGAAATTAAACAATATGTTCCTGAATGACCAGTTAGTCAATGAAAAGATTAGGAAGAAAATTGAAAAATTTTTGAAGCAAATGATAATGGAACACAAAATATTAAAACCTATGGGATACAGCAAAAGCAGTACTAAGAGGGAAACTAATAGCTATAGGTGCCCAAAACGAAAAAAAGGAAAAATATCAAATGAGCAACCCAACAATGTATCCTAAAGAAATAGAAAAGCAAAAGCAAACCAAATCCAAAATTAGTAATAGATAAGAAATAATAAAGATGAGAGCAGAATGAAATCGAAGTGAAGAAAACAATAAAAAAAGATTAATGCAGCCAAAAGCTGGAATTTTGAAAAAATAATCAAAATTAACAAACTTTTAGCCAGCCTAAGTAAAAGAGAGGGAAGACCCAAATACATAAAATCAGAGATGAATAAGGAGACATTACAACCAAAGGCTCATTAGAGGCTCCTATGAGCAACTCTATGTCAACAAATTGGAAAACCTCAAACAAATGAATACATTCTTAGACATATACAATCTACTGAAATTGAACTATGAAGAAATCAAAAAACTGAACAGACCAATAACAAATAATGAGATCAAAGCCATAAAAAGAGTCTCCCAGCAAAGAAACTCCCAGGATGCTATGGCTTCACTGATAAATTTTATTAAACTCTTTAAGAACTAAGGCGAGGGATAGCATTAGGAGAAATATCTAATGCAAATGACGGGTTGGTGGGTGCAGCAAACCTCCGTGGCACGTGTATACCTGTATAACAAACTTGCACGTTCTGCACATGTATCTCAGAACTTAAAGTACAATAAAAAGAGTTAAATTACCTTGGGGGGGAAAAAAAAAAGCTAATACCAATCCTACTAAAAACTATTCCAAAAAATAGAGGCAGAAGGACTACTTCCAAACTCATAAGTCCAGAATTACTCTTGTAGCAAAACCAGAGAAACATCAAAAACAGGAAAACATTAGCCAATATGTCTGATAAACATTGATGGAAAAATCCTCAACGAAATACTGGCAGTCTGAATTCAACAACAACACATTAAAAAGGTCATTCATCATGAGGGAGTGGGATTTATCCCTGGGATGCAAGGATGATTCAACATATGCAAATCAATCAATGCCATACATCATATAAACATAATGAAGGATAAAAAGCATATGATCATTTCAATTTATGCCGAAAACTCACATGATAATATTCAACATCCTTTCATGATAAAAGTCATTGAAAAACCGGGTAGAGAACGAGCATACCTCAACATAATAAAAGCCGTATATGACAGACCCACTGTGGAAGGATGGTTACTAGAGGCTGGGAAGGGCAGTGGGGAGCTGGGGGGATGTGGGGGATGGTTAATGGGTACAAAAACCAGAAATAATGAATAAGAACTACTACTTGATGGCAAAACAGGGTGACTACAGTCAATAATAATTTAATTGTAAATTTTAAAATAACTTAAAGAGTATAATTAAATTGTGTGTTGGTTCGTTCTCACACTGTTATGAAAAACTACCTGACAGTGGATAATTTATAAAGAAAAGAGGCTTAGTTTCCTCACAGTTCCACAGGCTGTACAGAAGGCGTGGCTGGGGAGGCTTCAGGAAACTGTATCATACTGAATGAGGAAACACAGAAAGTCTTTCCTCTGAGATCTGGAACACAACAAGGATGTAAACTTTCACCCTGTTATTCAGCAGAGTGAAACACATAGTACTGGAAGTCCCAGCTGGAGCAACAGAGAGGGGATATAGTACTGGAAGTTCCAAGGTACTGGAAGTCCTGGCTAGAGCAATCAGAGAGGGGAAATAAATAAGGGGCATCACAATTAGAAAGGAAGAAGTCAAATTTTCCTTGTTTGCAGATGATATGATCTCATGTTTGGAAAAACCTAAAAACTCCACAAAAAACTATTAGAACTGATAAACAAATTCAGTAAAGTTGCAGAATACAACATCGACATACAAAAAATCAATGGCATTTATATATGCCAACAGTGAGCAACCTGAAAAGAAAATAAAGAAAGTAATACCATTTACAATAGCTACAAATAAAATAAAATTCCTAGGAATTAGCTTAACCAAAGGAGTGAAAGATCTCTGCAATAAAAATTACAAAACATTGATGTAAGAAATTGAAGAGGACACCAGAAAAATGGGAAAATATTCCATATCCGTGGATTGGAAGAATCAATATTGTTAAACTGTCCATACATCTACATATTCAATGCAATCTCTATCAAAATACAGAAATAAAAAAAATCCTAAAACTTATATGGAACCACAGAAGACCCAGAATAGCCAAAGCTGTACTAAAGAAAAAGAACAAAACTGAAAAAGCCACATTATCTGTCTTCAATTTATACTACAGAACTATAATAACCAAAATAGCATGTTACTGTCATAAAAACAGACACATAAACCAATAGAACAGAATAGATAACTCAGAATCAAATCCATACATATAAGTAAACTCATTTTTGACAAAAGTGCCATGAACATACTTAGGTAAAGGACAGCATTGTCAATAACCGATGCTCAAAAACTGGATATTCTTAAGCAGAAAAATACAACTAGACCCTATATCTTTTACCATATACAAAAATCAAATCATAATGGATTAAAGACTTAAATTGATGTCCTCAAACTATGAAACTGCTAAAAGAAAACATTAGAGAAACTCTCCAGGATATTATTCTGGGCAAACATTTCTTAAGTAATACCCCAAAGCACAGGCAATCAAAGCAAAAATGGACAAGTGGAATCATTTCAAGTTACAAAGCTTCTGCACAGCAAAGAAAACATTTCACAAAATGAAGAGACAACCCACAGGATGGGAGAAAATATTTGCAAACTATCCATCTGATAATGGATTAATAACTGAAATATATACAGAGTTCAAATAACTATATAGGAAAAAATCTAATATTCTGATTAAAAACTGGGCAAAAGCTATGAGTAGGCATTTCTCAAAAGAAGGCATACAAATGGCATATGAGATATTTGAAAAAGTGCTCAACATCTTTGAACATCAGAAAAATGCATATCAAAACTACATCTTACTCCAATTAAAAAGTTTTTATCCAAAAGACAGGCAATAACAAATGCTGGCAAGGATGTGGAGAAAAGGGAACTCTCATACACACTGGGTGGTAATGTACATTAATACAATCACTATGAAGAACAGTTTGGAGGTTCCTCAAAGAACTAAAAATAAAGCTACCATACGACCCATCAATCCCACTGCTATGTATACACCCCAAATAATGAAAATCTAAATCTATATATCAAAGAGATATCTGCACTCCCGTGTTTATTGCAGCAGTATTCACAATATCCAAGATTTAAAAGCAAACTATGTCTGTCAGCAGACGAATGAATAAAGAAAATGTGGTAAATATACACAGTGGAGTGCTATTCAGCTGTAAAAAGAAAGAGATCCTGTTATTTACCACAACATATATGGGACCAGAGGCCATTATGTTAAGTGAAATAAGCCAGGCTCAAAAATATGAACTTTTCATATTCTCAGTTATTTGTGGGAGCTAAAAATTAAAACAATTGAACATATGCAGATAAAGAGAAGAATGATGGTTACCAGAGGGTGGGAAGGGTAGTGAGGGGGTGGGAAGGAAGTGGGAATGGTTAATGGGTACAAAACAATAGTTAGAAGAAATGAGTAAGACCTAGCATTTGATAGCACAACAGGGTGACTATAGTCAATAATAATTTAATTGTACATCTTAAAAGAAATAAAAGTATGTAATTGGATTGTTTATAACACAAAGGATAAATGCTTGATGTTAAGGATACCCCATTTACTCTGATGTGATTATTACATACTGTATGCCTGTATTAAAATATCCCATATACCCCATAAATATGTATACCTATTATGTACCCACAAAAACTAAAAATTAGGGAGAAAAAAAGGAAAAGAGAATGAATTTATGGTATTTGAAGCAACATGAATGGAACTGGATGTCATTATCTTAAGTGAAATAAACCATGTACAAAACAGAAATAGTGCATGTTCTCATTTATATTTGGAATCTAAAAAATTTGATCACAGCCGGGAGCCGTGGCTCATGCCTGTAATCCCAGCACTTTGGGAGGCTGAGGCGGGTGGATCACTTGAGGTTAGGAGTTTGATACCAGCCTGGCCAAAATGGTGAAACCCCGTCTCTACTAAAAATACCAAATTAGCCAGACGTGATGGCGCACGCCTGTAATCCCAGCTACTCGGGAGGCTGAGGCAGGAGAATTGCTTGAACCCAGGAGACGGAGGTTGCAGTGAGCCGAGGTTATGCCATTGAACTCCAGTCTGGGCAACAAGAGTGAAACTCTGTCTCAAAAAATAAAAATTAAAAAAAAATTGATCACATGGAGGCAGAGTGGAAAGATCAGTAACAGGGACCAGGAACTGTGAGACCACTTTCCATTGGTTGAATAGCCATTTCTGTCCTCATTGGTATATGCTGAAATATCTGTCATGTATCAATGGATCTGTACGTAATCTCTATTTATTAGAACTACTTTCATATACAATATTAAACTGATGTAATTATTACAGATCTAAAATAAATGGTGATTTCAGATATGTTAAGCACCCCAGTTTCTTCACGTGGCTTTGATTCAATTTGTTCCTAAGAACCCATCCTAAGAATACATATCGGCAAATATAAAATAGTATATGCAAAAACAAAAAAGTAAAAATAAAAAATAAAAAAGTATGTGCAATGAAAGAGAAAGAGAGACAGAATGTATAAGTTTGTTAGATTTTGCTAAATTTACCCCATCATGTACCGTTTTAAAGCAATATGTGAAACTGACTCTTTACTCACTGTTTTGTCCTTCTTTTAAAAATAACTAGAAATTTCTTAATCTCAAAACAAAAAAAGGCAAACAAAACTACAACATCAGTATCTATTATATTCATTCAATGAGGCACACAAGACAATATAAAATAATAGAAAAATACAAATGTATGATACTTCAATTTAATATGAACAGTAAAATAACAGTTAACTAAAAATGTTCAGCTCTGTAGGAAATTATTTGTATCACTTGTGTCTAGACTGTACTTATCAATTAAGGATTTTCATTATTAGTTATGACAATTATCCCTTTCTGTAAGTTCAAAATTCTTTCAAGATTAATTATTGGATTTAGAAAACTTGTTTTTGCATTATTTTTGTTTAGAAAAATTATTCTGAGTTTTTAAAAATTCAGTATAAGAATATCTGATTAAATTAAATTTCTATAGCATTTAAATATGAGCTTAAGAGTAATTTTAATTATTTCAATGAGAAGTGACATTACCAGTGAAACTAGGAATCAATGGTCTTCCAAAAATAATTATAAGTTAAGAAAATAACTTTCAAAGTAGTAGTTTTGTGTATAATAATGGCTAGGAAGCCATATTCAGCAATAACCAGAACAAACGAATATTATGTTTGCAATATTTTTTCTAACCAGAAGAAAACCATAAAATCAGTGACTAGCAAGAACATAAGCCAGAAATATAAATTTTAAGTTTTTCTAAAACATTGCTTACGTTAACATTTTGAAATAATTGATGTAACTCGCCCTTTTACAGAATAAAGGAGAAAATCAATATCTTCTCAATAGATTTGACACTATTTAGCAGAAGTGAAATTCCTCAATCTAATAAAATACCCTTGTTAAAAATACTGTCGTTAACACTATGCTTAATTGTAAAATTGTATACACTTTCTTTTTATGTCCATTCGTTCTGCTATAACAAAATACCTGAGAAAGGGTAATTTATAAAGAATAGAAATTTGTTTCTCACGGTTGTGGAGTCTGGAAATACAAGATTAATATGTTGGGAATATTTGGTGTCTGGTAACAGCTATTCTCTGATTCCAAGATGGTGCGTCTTGCTGCGTCCTCACAAGGCAGAAAAGATAGAAGGGCAAAAGCAACAGATGCTGTTCCCTTGTCCTCACGCAGTGGAAGAGCAGAACAGAATAAACTCACTGCTTCAATATTATAAAAGCCGTCATTCCATCCATGAAGGTTCTACTCTCATGACTTACTAACCTCCTAAAGGTCTTACTTCTTAATATTATCACATTGGAAATTAAGTTTCTACATATTAATTTTTGGGGACATATTCAGACCATAGATAGCAATTACCAAAGCAAGGATATCCATTCTCATCACT
Source organism: Homo sapiens (assembly GCF_000001405.40). Classification (NCBI taxonomy): domain Eukaryota; kingdom Metazoa; phylum Chordata; class Mammalia; order Primates; family Hominidae; genus Homo; species Homo sapiens. The sequence goes on along the minus strand of NC_000023.11, from coordinate 36,622,594 downwards.
TTACTGAGGATGCTTGGTAGTGTTTTAAGGCAATTTTTAAAAGGCACAAGCATTAAAAAAAAATAGCTGTAAAACAATCTTTATTTACAAATGACATAATTATAGGGAGAGAAAATATTAAGGAATCCAGAACTAATGAGTGAATTTGGCACAGTCAAAGGATATATACTCAATATAAAAAAAAATTATTATCATATACTAGCAAAACCAAAAGTTGAAACAATAGTATTTTTATCAGCAGCAAAGCATGAAAGCCATAGAAATAAAATTAACAAAAGTACACAAGACCTCTACACTGAAATCAACAAAATGTAAATAAGTGACATACCACATTAATGGATTGGAAGATTCAATATTAAGATGCCTATTCTTATCAAATGAACCTATGGAGTCAACACAATTCTAATAAAAACATTGTCTAACTTCTTTTGGGGGACACTAATTTACAAGCTGATTCTAAAATGTATATGGAAATACAAAAGAGATATGATCAACCAATCTTGAATGACCAGTCTAAGTATGGAAGACCTGATTTCACGACTTACTGTAAAGCTAGCATAATAAAGACAACGTGATACTAGCTTAAGAATAAACATATAAGTCAATAAAATAGAACTGAGAGTCCAGAAGTATACCTTTACAGTTATGGTCAATTAATTTTTGACAACAATGCCAACCAATTCAATGAGGGAAAAGATAATCTTTTCAACAAATGGTGCTAAAACAATTGGATACCCATAAGAAAAATAAACCCACATTGCTCTCTTTCATCATATAGAAATATATTTGTGTTGAATCACAAATCTAAATATACAAGCTGTAATCATAAACCTTCTTGAAAAAACAGAGGAGAATATGCTCACGACCTTGAAATTAGCAAAAAGTTCTTAGGATGCAGAAGCCACTGATCATAAGAGAAAATAGTCTGTATTTTATTAAAAGTATTTAAAGGCTCTGTTTATTAAAAATACTGTTAAGGAAATTAAAAAGTAAGTCAAAAGTGGGGAAAATATTTTATTTCACAAGACAAAGAACTTATAACATATAAATAACTCCTATGACAAGAATGACAAACATCTGATATGGGCAATGGTTTCCAATCACCATTTCTCTAAATAAGATATAGAAATTGCCATTTAGCAAATGAAAGGTTCTCAAAAGTCAATAGTCAGTAAGAAAACACAGATTAAAATTAGTAAGATTTACTATTTCACACTTTTTTAGCTAAATTGTAGAAGATTGATAAATACATTGCTGGGCATGAATGTAAAAGGATACCAGCACTTTGGAAAACAGTTTGGGAGTTTTTAAAAAATAAAGTTACTATGTACCTTATCCTATGAATCAGTGACTCTGGGGCCAAAAATAGAACATATATTCTTTCTAAGATGTGTGTAAAAATATTTACCACAGCTTTTTTCATAGTTGCCAAAACATAGAAACAATCCAAATGTTTATCAGTATTATAAATATTTAGTATGTGTATTCAATTCACTAGTGAAAAGAAATAAAAATGATGAACCTGTAATATTCGAATCAATGTGAAAAATGCTTCAAAAACATGTTGAGTGAAAGAACCCAGGCTCAAAACACATCAGATTTTAATGTTTCCATTCACATGAAGTACTTTAAGGGGAAACACTAAAGGATGTTGACAAATATAAACAGTAAGTGTATCTACATGGGTTCAAGTACTGTCTAGATAGAGGTACAGGGGAACATTCTGAAATGACAGAAACCTTGATCTTAATACGGGTAGTTGTTAAATGGATGCATATGTTTGTGAAAACTTATTGAACTGTATAATTAAAATATTTTCACTTTGTTTTCTGTAAAGTATTGCTCAATTAGAAAACAATATTATATATGTAAAATTATTTTAGTAGAATTAAGTGAACTTTAGAATATGTCAGAGAGCTAGTTTATTACTTAGAATTGTCCAGTTTTATGATCTCGCTTAATACATTAACTCTTTAGTGAATGATCAGGGATGGGGAGATGATATTCTGTAGAACTACTCATTTAACCCACTGTTCCTACTTTTTATTCTGTTTTGTTCTATTCTGCTTAATTCTATTCCATTTTAAGATGCTGATCAGGACTTAGAAATTGATTTCACATCTCACTATAAACCCCAATCTGAAGTGTGAAAAATCAATGAACTAGGCTCTTAGTGATACCAGATTTCTGATATGGGTTTTCCAACTTACTCCTTAATAATTATGCAGATTTCTCTTTCTTTTCAAATACTGGTGCTGTCAAATATGAGCATTATCTAGAATTCCAATAAATAATCTTTTTAAATCTCAGATACCCCAACTCACTTTATTCTTATAACTCAGAACTCAAGATGGTTCATAACTTTAACAGAATAATGCTTATGAGAATGGAAAAGCCATTATCACTTTGATTAATTTTTGTCCCTAAAACAAATTATTTAATAAGAACATTAGTTTAAATTACAGTTGCTAGAATGCAACTTTGAGAGAGAGGCAGGTAAGGGAATATGGCTGCTTGATTCAAGCTGCAATGCAAAAGAAAAAAATGAAAAATGCATTCATTTATCCACAAAATTATTACTATGATTATAATAAAAGCAAAATACTTAATGAAATTTTTTAAACAAATAGAAGACTGGCTGGGTGTGGTGGTTCACACCTGTAATCTCAGCACTTTGGGAGGGTGAGGCAGGCGGATCACTTGAGCCCAGGAGTTTCAGATGAGCCTGGAAAACATGGATAAATCTTGTCTAAAAAAATACAAAAGTTATCCAGGAGTGATAGCTCATACCTGTAGGCCCAGGTACTCTGGAGGCTGAGGTAGGAGGATTGCTTGAGCCAGGGAGGTGGAGGCTGCAGTGGGCCAAGATCACACCACTACACTGCAGTCTGAGTGACAGAGCAAGACTCTGTCTCAAAAATAATAGTAATAATAATAATAATAAAGTAGATAACACTGGAAATCATTTAAATGACAGGTTTATTGCTCTGTCTTAAATATGGATATTTATAAATATTTAATCTATAATTTTTATTTAATGGCCATTATATCATTTATATGTATATATGATATACCCATCATATATGTGTATACAGGTATATATACACACATATTGATTGTTTCATACTAATAATGCTATGACTGCTGATTCATTCAGTATCATATATGTACACATACATACACACTCACATACATCATAACAAACCCTTACAGCAAGCTGGACATTCTCCTATTCATACTTTATACAGCAGTGCAACAGAGATATTAGAGTCTCACAGCTATTAAGTGTCAGAGCCAGGGTTTATACTGAGGTCTATTTAATTTCAAAGGCTGAAGTCTATCAGTTCACACTATTTCTCTAGCAGTAGGAATAGATATGTTGAACATCAACTAAATATACCAAAAAGTTAATATATCTGTTAACTCACTATTGTCAACAGCTTCTGAAATTCCTTTAAATTTATTTATTCTTTTTCACAATAAGAAATACACTGCTTTCCTGTTTGTCACCTCCATCCATGCCTCTCTTTCTTCTGCTCCCTCTCTTTTAAAGTGAAAGTTGCATTGCTCAGAGTGAAGGTTGCATTGCCTGCCTAGTTTATAATCCCATCTAGCTCCAGTTTTATTCATAGACAGATTTACATCGTTAAGAATTAAGTCTCAGAATTTCTGCCAAGTCCACTGCTGCTTCTTTGCAAAACTGGTTTCTTTGTAGTAAGTGAAAATGGTGTGCTGAATAAATTTTAAGCTTATGCTTAGCAGCATAAGCTCTGTTAGTTGTCCTCTAATGAATATATAATGAGAAATCAATGGAAAGGACAATCAGGTCTGGGATAAATTAACAGTTATGGGCAGATTTCGCATGAAGCTAATTAAACTCAATCTTCGGAACTCTTCATTTGCACAGGCCTCTTCCAAGGCTCTGGTGGGTTATGATAATATTATATCCTTTCTCTTAAGAGTCCCTCACACAGAATTATATAAGCTCCTTGTTCCAAAAAAACCTAGATATTTTCCTAAGAAAGTTGGAGGAGATATGGGTATTACTGGTCCAAATACAAGATCAAGATTGGGAAAACACAAAAACGGCAAGGGAGTTAATACAGAAAAATATAAGGAGCAATAAAAGGAAAAATTACAGAATTTGCTTTTTAAAAAGGAAAAGTTTGGGGATCATTGAGAAATCTTTTGAGTATTGTCAAGTAAAGCTCAATGAACATGGGATTAGAAATTAAACAAATATGTGTCTCTTCACTCAGGAGCATTCTTTGGCAATAAAATGTCCACAACAATCGCTAACGCAATGGGTCTCAAATATATTAAAAATTTCAATTTGTCATGAGAAAAATTTTGCAAAACCCTCAAGCCAGAGAGGATTACAGAATTACCTTTATATAGTTATTGAAAACACGTATATTCAGAAGCTAAAACTCAGTGTCTGCCTCCTCTAGCAGAGGCACATGCCAACTTATATATCCCAGACCAGAAATAAACAAAAACAAAAACAAAAAATAAATGGTTGTTCTCTTGCTAGGAAGGTGGTCTTGCTTCAATACGTTAGCCACTTCAGTAAAAGAAACACCTGGAGCATACTTGGTCCACAATATTGATCCAGCCTCATAAATGAGTTACAGATGCTGAAGAGAAAGAGACCCGAAGTGTCACTTGAGTGGACATCCCCTCAGGGAAGCATTCTGTGAATTATGTTCACAGAATCTTAATAGCTGTGAGATTCCAATATCTCTGTTGCACTGCTGTATAAAATATGAATAGAGGGGAGAATGTCCAGTTTTCTGTAAGGATTTGTTAAGCCCATATTTTAAATTTCCACCTGTAAGCCAATAAACCCAAGCAAGCAAAATTATTTTCTCCCTAGCAATGAAAATAATTTGAAATTTGACCCACTAATAATAACCACAATAATCAAAAGAATAAAAACTCCCTGGTCCATTTTTGCCCAACTTGTGGCCCACATTTCCCTCTCTGATCCACAGACAGATCTTGAAGAGAACCTAATGGTGGACAAAAGCCACAGATGGAATCCTCAGTGCACTTAACTGCTTGAGAAACGTGTTGGAATCTAATGCTATCCAAAACACTTCCTTTTCTGTGTTCAGAAATACTACACACTTACTATTGGAAGGTCCCCCAAATTCTGCCAAATCTTTACAAATCTTGAATTGTTTAGCACCAATAATGATTATATGTTGATAGCAGCCCTTCTGTCTCAATTCCATAGTTCCAAAGCAAATTTTGTTAAAAATGTCCTTCTTTTTAAAAGTACACATGATAAATTAGATATTTGAATACAATAAAAAGGGTGCTTTTAAAAAAGCCCTATATTTAATGATAGTAACAAAAATTTGTCTTTTTTTTCTGATAGTATGTCCTCACTATTCATTATTTCCAGGATACTTCACCAGTTGGCTGTATCCCTGTTCAGCTTCCTGAAACTTGAAAGATTCATTAGTGTCACCTGAAATTTCCCCCATAGTAGCCAGTGAAAGATTAGACACATAGCACACAATATTGCTCTGATCATTTGAAGATATAAATGAAATCAATTCTGTGCTAAAATGGATCCTCTAAGAAACATTTTTTCTACTCAAATTACAATAAAACTAGGAAACTAGACAAGTTTTCTGTTAGGTTTTAGAAGAGTTGGTTTATTTTAATATGAATAAAAGAATTCCCCTTTATAGATATTGGTATTATTACAGTATAATCAGTCATTTATGTCATTTAATCTAGGATGGAGAATGGTAGGAAATTAGGCACTGAGGCACTTTTAAGGTTTCTATGTTTCTGCTGGGCGCAGTGGCTCACGCCTGTAACCCCAGTACTTTGGGAGGCCTAGGCAGGCGGATCGCCTGAGGTCAGGAGTTTGAGACCAGCCTGGCAAACATGGCGAAACCCCGTCTCTACTAAAAATACAAAAATTAGCTGGGTGTGGTGGTGCACGCCTGTAGTCTCAGCTACTCGGGAGGCTGAGGCAGCAGAATCACTTGAACCCGAGAAGTGGAGACTGCAGTGAGCAGAGATCACACCATCCTGGGTGACACAGCGAGACTCTGTCTCAAAAAAAAAAAAAAACAAAAAGTTTGTATGTTTCCAGGATTCCATCAATTTTTGTTAGATTTTCTAGTTTGTGTGCAGAGAGGTGATTGTAATTCTCTGAGGGTTTTTTTTTTTTTGTATTTCTGTGGGATCAGTGGCAATGTCCTCTTTGTCATCTCTGATTGTGTTTATTTGGATTTTTTAAAATTAGTATATTTAGTAGTCTATCAATGTTATTCATTCTTTCAAAGAACAAACTTTTGGTTTCACTGATCTTTTGTATCATTTTTCACATCTCCATTTCATTCAATTCAGCTCTGATTTTGGTTATTTTTCTTCTACTATCTTTGGGGTTGATTTACTCTTATTTCTCTAGTTCCACGAGGTGTGATGTTAGGTTGCTAATTTTAGATCTTTCTAACTTTTTGATATGTGTATTTTGTGCTGTAAATTTTCCTCTTAACATTGCTTTAGCTGTGTCCCAGAGATTCTGGTCTGTTGTATCTTTGAGGTTTCATTCATTTAAATAATTTCTTGATTTCTGCCTTAGTTTCATTGTTTACTCAAAAGTCACCCAGGAGGAAATGTTTTGAGAGAACTTCTTGGAACCAATATCTACTTTTATTGCACTTTGGACTGAGAATATGTTTGGTATGATTTCAGTTTCTTTGAATTTTTTGAGAGTTACTTTATGGCTGAGCATGTGGTTGATCTGAGTATGTGCAATGTGCAGGTAAGAAGAAAGTATATTCTGTTTTTGTTGGGTGGAATGTTCTGTAGATGTCTGTTAGGTCCATCTCTTCAAGTGTCAAGCTTAAGTCCCAAATACCCTTGTTAGTTTTGTGCCTCGATGATTTCTCTGTCAGTGAGGTGTTAAAGTTTCCCACTATTATTGTGTAATTATTTAATCCTCTTCATAGGTGTCTAAATACTTATTTTATAAATCTGGGTGTTCATGTGTTGGGTGCATATATATTTAGGATAGTTATGTCTTCTTGTTGAATTGAGCCCTTTACCATTATGTAATACTGTTCTTTTTCTTTTTTGATCTTTGTTGGTTTAAAATCTGTTTTGCCTGAAATTAGAATAGAAACTCCTGTTTTCTTTTGTTTTCTGTTTGCTTGGTAGATTTTTCTGCATTCCTTTACTTTCAGTCTATGGATGTCCTTGCATGTGAGATGGGTCTCTTGAAGACAGTATACCGTTGGGTCTTGCTTCTTTATCCACCTTGCCACTCTGTGCCTAAGTGGGGCGTTTAGCCCATTTATGATCAAAGTTAATATTGATATGTGCATATTTGATCCTGTCATCACGTTGCTAGCTAGTTATTATGTAGACTTGATTGTATATTTGCTTTATTGTGTCAATACACTTTGTACTTAAGTGGACTTTTATTGTGGCTGGTAATGGTCTTTTGTTTCCATGTTTAGCACTCTCTTAAGGACCTTTTGTAAGGCAGGTCTGATGGTAACAAATTCCCTTAGCATTTGCTTATCTGAAAGGGATTTTATTTCTCCTTCACTTATGAAGCTTAGTTTGGTTGGATATGAAAATCTTGGTTGGCATTTCTTTTCTTTAAGGATGCCAAATATATATCCCAAGTCTCTTCTGGTTTGTCATGTTTCTACTGAATATTCTGCTGTTAGCCTGATCAGGCTTCCTTCATAGGTGACCTGTCCCTTCTCTCTAGCTGCCTTTAATATATTTTTTCTTACATATTGACCTTGAAGAATCTGATGACTACGTGTCTTGGGAGATGTTCATCTTGTATAATATCTCTCAAGGGTTATCTGATTTTCTGGAATTTGAATGTCAACTTCTCTATTGAGGTTGGGGAAATTTTCATGCACAATATTAAAAATATCTTCCAAGTTGCTTGCTCTCTCTCCCTCTTTTGGGGATGCCAATGAGTCATAGGTTTCATCTCTTTATATATTTTCATATTTCTCAGTGGCTTTGTTTATTTGTTTTTATTGTCCTTTTCTTTATTTTTGTCTGACTTAGTTGATTTGAATAAATGGTCTTCAAGCTCTGAGATCTTTTCCTCTGTTTAGTCTATGGTGCTGCAAACATTTCTGATTTTATTATGAAATCCTTATAGTGAGTTTTTCAGCTCTATAAAATCAGTTTGATTTTTTCTTAATATAGCTATTTTGTCTTTCAACTCTTGAATCATTTTACTAAATTCCTTGGATTGGGTTTTAATTTTCTCCTGAATCTCAATGATCTTTATTGCCATTTATATTCTGAATTCTATGTCTGTCATTTCAGCGATTTCAGTTGGGCTATTGCTGAGAAACTAGTGTGGTTATTTGGAGGTAAGAAGACACTCTGGCTTTTAGAGTTGCTAGAGTTCTTGCATTGCCTCTTTCTCATCTGTGTGAGCTGATGTTCCTTTCATCTTTGATGTTGCTGTCCTTTGGATGTGGCTTTTTGTTTCTATATTCCTTGGTGTTTTTGAGGGTTTTACTGTGGTATAAGTTGAGTTGAGACAACTGGCTTCATGTCTGGATGCTTTCAGGGGAATAAGGCTCAGCTCAGCACTCCTGGCTGCATGCTCTAACCCTGGGGTGTTGGTACCAGGCCCATGGCTGTGTTCTTTGGCCCCTCAAGGTTAAGCACGTAGTGCACTAGATGGGCAGAGGTGTTCCTGGTCTCCTGGCAACAACACTCCTATGGGAGTTGTTGGCAAAAGTGCTCATTGAGGTGGTGTCAGCAGAGCCCATGCTTGTATGAATGCTCCATTGGCAGTAGGGTCCATTCACATGCTTGTGGCAGTAGGATGGTGGTGGCAAGATCTACACATGTGTGCCAGCAAAGTGTCAGTGGGTGGCTGTGGTCAGGTGCATGCTGGCAGGGGCCTATCTGCAAAAGTTCTCTTATGATTAGGCGGGGTCTTCTGGCAAAAGAGCTATATGGCAGTGGCTGCTGGGTTATGCCCTGGTTGAGCATTTGAAGCTGCACTGCAAGTGGGTGCAACTAGGCAGGGACCCTGGGGGAGAATGGAAAACTGTTGCCATTCAGATCAGTCTGGCCCTGTCCCATGGGCAACAAACCCTGTTTTGTCAAATCCAAGAGTCGACAAAGGCCAAAGCCACCTAAAGGCGCATAACAAACTTTGGGAGACAGGCATCCCTGGCAGTGCTCCACTTTAGCCATTATCATGCCAAACACTCTGGGCTCCATGCAGGCTGGAGTCCTGTCCCTGACAACTCTCCACGCAGCCAGCCCAAGCGTCCATGGTGGTAGTGGGGTCTACTGCAGGTAGGATTATGGAGGCCTGTGCCAAGAGTGGGCCACACTGCATCTACTTAACTCACTCATTCACCAAAAGCTGCTGAATGCCAGAAACAAGTCCTGGTGCTTGGCAACCCCATGTAGGGCTCCCAGCTACCACCCTCTTCAACCCAGAGTCTGTGTCCCTCTTCTATCCAGTCTCATTGCCTTCCGACAATGCTTGGTGTGTGCTAGTCTTCTTTATCATCAGGTTTCTCGATGAGAGAAGGTCTTCCTGGCTGCATCTAGTTGGCTATCTTGCTTGAGAATTGCATGACTTCTTAAAGTAGTAGACTCATAGAAAATTATCTCATTCAGGAGCTGTCATATGGTTGACAAGGTATGTATTTTTTTCTGTATTCTGTACGTATACACCTTTGTTTTATGGTTGATGTACATTTTGTAAGGGAAACACTGTATTTTTAATTAATATATTTAGAGCTTCTCTGAATTTCTATTATTAGATCACATGCATTTTGTTTGCTTGTTTTGTTTTTTTTTTTGTTTTTTTTTTTAATTTTATTATTATTATACTTTAAGTTTTAGGGTACATGTGCACAACATGCAGGTTTGTTACATATGTATACATGTGCTATGTTGGTGTGCTGCACCCATTAACTCGTCGTTTAGCATTAGGTATATCTCCTAATGCTATCCCTCCCCCCGCCCCCCACCCCACAACAGTCCCCGGTGTGTGATGTTCCCCTTCCTGTGTCCATGTGTTCTCATTGTTCAATTCCCACCTATGAGTGAGAACATGCGGTGTTTGGTTTTTTGTCCTTGCGATGCTTTGCTGAGAATGATGGTTTCTAGTTTCATCCATGTCCCTACAAAGGACATGAACTCATCCTTCTTTATGGCTGCATAGTATTCCATGGTGTATATGTCGGCACTATCCACAATAGCAAAGACTTGGAACCAACCTAAATGTCCAACAACGATAGACTGGATTAAGAAAATGTGGCTTGTTTTTTTAAGCTTTACACACGGCCACATGTGGAAAAAAGTCACTGAGAGTCAGAATGAGTAATGGAATAAACATTTGGATAAATTAAAATAATAATCAGGGTTTACTTATTTTAGAAATTATCATAAAATTGATGCATGTTTTCTAAATTTTCTTTTAGATATAGAATGAGAATTTTATAGCAGAAAATACCATAAAATAAGCATTTGGAGACCTGACTCTAGCATCAGCTTAGTGAATTCAGAAAACTCTTGACTCTTCTGTGTCTATTTTCACTTGGTTAAAAGAGAAATTTTGAATTATTTTCTTTCTGTATAATGCAGATCTAAGTGTACACCAAGTGTCTGCTGTATCCTCCAAAGTCTCAAGCTTGATATGGTCACCTTCATGCTTTCCTTTCATAGCCAAACACAATGGCTCAAGTCCTCAACCCAGTTACTGAGGGAAGTCACATGTGCAGGACCATTTTCTGGGTGGCCTTAGACTGACCCATTTCTCCTCTTAATGCCTGCAGTTCTCAAGAATAACTGTAGAATGTGCTGAGAGTTCAATACCATGAAATAGGGAGAACTGCCCAAAACAGCCTACGCCTTGTTTGTGTCCCTCCTAGGGAATGTAATTTCTTGAGGTAGAAAGGAAATTCCAGGGACAGCCTAGGCTTTGCTTCTCTGTCCCCTTGAAGCAGAGTGTCCTTCAAATCATTGCCAAGTAAGTTATGTTATCCCAAAGGTATATAACCCATGGTGGACTGTTTTTTCAGGTCCCTCAGCCATGGTGCAAACAGAACATGCACACTAAAGACCATCCTCCCCTGGCAGCTTTCTTGAGCCTTGGGGTACCAGCTCACAATGGATCCAAAATTTCTTCTGTCTCTTGATGCCTATCTGTAAGTAATAAATCCACTTCATGTAACTTGTTGTGAGTATATTCTCTCTCACCAGACTCACACAGGTTGGTAGCCGGTGCACAGTGAATCAGCTTTATGCCATGCATCCCTAACATCTCCAAGGGTTCCCTTGCAGATAACCATACTTCTTTTGGTCTCTCTTGCTTCTATGTATTGTTTCTGCAGCATTTTCAACTGTTTTTCCAATTGCTCTTTTCTTCTTGACCTAGTTTATCCCATGCTGGACATCATCAATTTCCTTTCATTCCTCCAAAGTGCTATTTAAAAAAGGCTCCTGCTTGTAGCAGACTTTGACAAAACTTTAAGGTAATGGAAGAAGATTATATAATCCTAAAATGAACAGTTAACACTGGAAATATTTCTTCCAAAAATTATTAGTAAAATTCCAAGAAACATAACTGCTCTTGTTATCCTGTTAGGACTTGGTTTAATACTTTCATTTACTCTCTCTAGCCCCATTACATTTCTGTCATACCCTACCTACTTTCTCTTTGGCTAATAGTAATTTCAGTATCACTATTTTATTGTATGTGTAAGAGTAATAGTAATCTAATTTTTATGGCTCACCTTAGGTTTAGTTTATTTCTAAGAAGCCTTATTTTTCTCAATCAGAAGTCCAAATCTGACTAATCAGGATAATTTGAGAATTTAAAAAAACCTCTATGATATAAATTATGCCATTCTTTGGAAATACTGAAACATAAAATTTACTTATTCCAAGGTAACATTTTTTTCCTTTCTTCCATATGAAGTTTTCTAATTTTTTTAAGTTCTTTTATCATTCTTATTTTTGACACTCTCAATCTAAAAATGGAAACTTTTGAACTTTAACTTAGTCATGCTCATCAACAACATTTATTGGCTGTCATCTTTGTATGATGTGTTGAGTGTTAGTATTCAATGAAATAAGACCTTGAAAATAGATTCCTCACTAGCATTGTTATAACTTAGTCATTTCTTAGTCATTTCTTTTTACTCGAGCCAGGCAGGTCCTCCACTGCCTGCTAGAAACTTCAGTACTTGAACATCTACGCTAATTACCTGTGCAGTGAATCTCCCTCCTCCAGGGCTGAACCCCAGGACCTCTGGCAATCATTGACTTCTCCCTTCCTGGGTAGATTCTTTGGATTTTGACCACATATTAATATTTGGCTCATGATAACAAATCTTTCCTTAGTCTTGGTAATAGCTTCCAACTTAGTCTCCTTGCTTCTAGTGGATATCCCATGTAACAGCTATTTTAGAATCACTTTCTACAAAGCTTAACTCAAATCACATTTTTTTAACTTCTCAGGCAGATTTTACCTCTTCCCACAAAGTGAATTTCACTTCCCCAAGAAAGTGAATTTCTACCCTTACCCACTATGATCTCATTCTAGTCCCTGTACTTCTGCTTTCCTTTCACTCCAGCAATGTTTTTGGCTGAGATGTTTTTAAGATTCTGCTGAGACTCTGATAAGCTTTTCTATTCCTGTATGTTTGTCCATCTCACCACAGCCTTGTTTGAACAGTGGAGAGGCTTTACATTCTTTAAGGATGAAATTACTATTTCATATCAAGTTACCACTTCCATAAAATAGCATTTCTCCAGCACTAGAGAGGTTTACACAATATCTGTACATTGTATTAGTCAGTCGAATGTGAAGAAAGTGGGTGTTTAATAAAATGCATGTGGAATTTGCTTATGATGAAACAGAGAACTGAAATTCTAAAAGTCGATATCAGGGCCTACACTACTCAATAAACAAATTCCACTAATAGTGGGAAGTGTTCATCATTACTGCTTTTCAGAAGCGTACGCTATTGGGAAGAAAAATCATTACTTCACTGCCATGGAATCAATGAAGGAAGAAGGAATTTTTGTATCTGGAAAATATTCAGGAGGTCTTTGAGACAAGAAAAAAGTATTGAGTAAATGTATTTTAGTTTTTACAGAACAGGAAGTGTAAAAAGAAGGACTTGACCATCACCAACACTTTCCCCAGGCTTTCCTCAAATCACTGGTCATCCTGAAAGGGAGTAATCATCCATATGGGGATGATAACTAATTATCTGTAGGGCATTAATTTTTTAAGTTATAGTTGCCTAGTTTGTGAAGTTAGAAAATCAATATCATGATTTTTATTTTGGCTTCATACACCTATTTCATGTCTTTCTACTTAATAATCCCTAACATGACTTATTACTTATGATTTTATGAAGACAACAAAAGGGGATTAGAGTAAAGGTATGCAAGTAAAGGAATAGATTGAGCTATATTTTGATGATCAACATCACTTAATGCACTTATAGATTTATAGGAATTTGCAAATAAATGCATCATGGATGTGGTTACTGAAAGTGACTAAAGTAACTCAAAACCAAATTTATTATGGATCTTCTTACTTCATTGCCTTGATTTTGCATCCCCCTTTTTGTTAACAAAAGTGTCCAAATTCTACCTCTAACCCTTCTTTGTGTAAGACTACTTTCTCTGAATTTCAGAACTGATATACTGATAGCAGAAGCTTTAGTCTTTCTCATATAAATATTCTGCTTCTTAAAGTTCAGCAACTATGTTTTGCTGCTCTTGCCATTTCTACATTCATTTTTAAGTATTGTTGTTCAAATCCATGCAATGTATAATTTCAAAGAGCAGTGTGTCTGCAGCTGGAGGGTTTGCACATACCTCTGTATTTTAGAATGACATATATTATCTCCCAGGGAATATGCTTCATCATTTCGATGCTCCTTTCTTCATGTCCATTTAGTTTCTCTCTCTGTAAAGAAGTATATGCTTCTGGGGACTGAGTTAGGCAAGTCTGGTATTTACTGCTTAACTTTTTCTTTATTTATTTTATGAATTTATCCTGTTTTTACTATGGTGCCAAACACCATCCCATGCCCTGAAAGACAAATAAGATGCAGCTTTATTACAGAAGGCAGAACAGAATATTCCATTGAAAAGGCAAAATATTCCTGACTTTCAAAAGTGGTTTCTGAAATGCCTTACATTTTCCTCATCTACAAATTAAGAGGTAGTGGGAACTCAGGAGGGCTCCTAAAGAAGGCTTCCAGGGAAAATGATTCATGCCTATAATATAAGGCTTATAGTAGCATACGAGTCAAACACAGACAACAACATTAGTAGTCCATACTATATCATGCCACAGAGCCTCACACAGGTCTGCACACCGGTAGACACCTAACCATAATACTCATTAACTTGCCCAGTGTTTTATCAATGTCAGCTCTCCAACTCTAACAGGGCTGGAAATATTTTACGCAAGGGAATAGTTTTTTGGTTTATAAATATTTTGAAAGATCTAAAAGACCTGAGTTATCTTGCAGTCCAGAGTCTAAACCAGGACAGAAAGGAACTGATTCTCTGGCATCATGTATAAAGAATTGGGTCATGAGTCTTTCTTTGATGATCTGTCATAGAGCTATTTTTGATGAAATATTGTCATCCTTCAGAGCTTATCTTTATTATGTTATGAAATATTTTGAAGAGAAATAATTATCCCACCTACTAATTACTCATTTGTTAACGCTCAATTACTACTTGCTGATGCTAAACTTTGTGAGGAGAACTGGCTAACAAAATAGTGCATAATATAGAATGCATACCTTTCTTCACAAAGTCTGGAAGAAAAGATCAAGAGTTTAAATAAATAATTGCAGTAATGTATCATAAATGCTGTAATGTAGAAGTACAGGGTGAGATGTAAGTTCACAGTGGGAGCAACTAACCTAATCTAAAAACTTAGAGAAGGTGTACCGTCAAAATCTTAGTAAGAAATAAAATACAACTCAGGTGGCATAAAAACCTTGAAGAAAGGGATCATTTACAGAGATGTAGGTGGGATTAAGGGAATCAATAAATACTGCAGGTACTATCTATAGAGAACAGGAGACTCTTACCCCCACCCTTGTGTCTGAAGGGAAAAAGAGGGAAAACAGTGTTACTAATTGTAGTAAAAATTTGAGTTAGAAGGTGTTCACTAGATATTACCCAGAGCAGGGAGGGAGCTTGAGAGGAAACATCCTGTTCCCTTTTTCATCTGACTTTATTTCATTGGCCAAACCCTTGAGGCAAGGGAGCCCAGGTTATTCAATCTTGGTGGGTCAGCTAACCAGGACCCAGAGCAGGGCAGAAGGATGGAGAATTGGCCAAGGTGGGGTGGGGTTACGGATTAGTACACAGCAAAAAGAATAACCAACACAGGAGGCTTTTAGGAAGAAAGAGCTACTTATCAAAGAATTGAAGGATGAATGAGAGTCTGACACAAAAGAAGGTGAAAGTGTTTCATGATTCAATAAACTTCTTTGTGTTCTTAGAGGCTGGTACCCAGCTCTAGCACATCAGAATTGAAGACATGGGTTTCTGTTTGTACCAACTGTACTCTCACAATACTAAAAATTAGCTTGTTCTTCTTTTTGTAGGTTCTTAATGTATAAAGGTAGTTTATTAATTTAAGATCATTTAATCTTTTTAGTTTGACATTGCATGATGCTTCATTAATACTTGCTGGGGGAGGAAACAATAGGTACCCTGATAATAAATAATACAGTCAGGTTTCAGAGTCAGGATTTTGTAACTCCAAAGTCACAATTTTAAGTACTTAATATGTTTAAATCATTGTTTTGGTTGATATTGGAATTACAATGAAATAAGCAACAGGTTTTGTCCTCAAGGAGTGAACATTACAGAATGTCATGTACTACAAGAACCCTTTTGATACGAGTTGAAATAAGGGTGATATCACTTCTCTATTAAGTAATCGGAAGAGCTTTGAGAAGAACATGGCACTTAACCACGATCTAAATGAAAGGTGTCATAAGCAATCCTGCAGAAAGTCCCAAATGAATCCTAAAACCTATACCCAATAGTATGTTAAATTTTTTCCCTTTTCCTGAAAACATGTTCTGAATGTTAAATGATGAGGTTCAGGACATTCTACCCCAAAATATGACCCTTGGCATTTAAAAAAAATGGCAGAAGAAAGGTCACTCTCACCTTTCTCTGCTGTTTTTCCCTGAAAAAGATAATAAAACCTTCATTTGAGAAGTGCTCTACCTATACCTGGAGGAAAGGAGCCAAAGGCACAGACATGCCAAGGAGAATCTAAGAAAACAAGCCTTATTTGCTAAGTTTTCCCTAGTTTATTATCATTAGATCATACCCTTGTCTAATCCTGTTTGTCCATGATTGTTCAATCTTTTTAAAGATAAACAAGTTTAACATTTCTGTGGATTTTCCTTTCCTTATGAAGGCTCCTGTGTCATGTAAAACTTGTATGAAATAATATTATTGCTTTTCTCCTGTTAATCTTTTCTTTTTTGGAGACAGAGTCTCACTCTGTTTCCCAGGCTGTAGTGCAGTGGCGTGATCACAGCTCACTGCAACCTCCACTTCCTGGACTCAGGTGATTCTCCCACTCCACCCTCCTGAGTAGCTGGAACCACAGGCATGCACCACCATCACCAGCTAATTTTTTGTATTTTTTCTAGAGATGGGGTATTGGCATGTTGCCCGGACTGGTCTTGAACTCCTGGGCTCAAGCAATCCGCCTGCCTCTGCCTCCCAAACTGCTGGGATTACAGGAGTGAGCCACCACGCCAGGCCAATATATCTTTTCTTATAGAGGCCTAAAACATAAACCTGGGATGAGTAAGGAAAAGATATTTTTTCTGCCTTACATAAGCAAAGTAGGACAAATCACAGAGCCCTTTCCTCAGAAGACATATTGCATATCTTCTCTAAGGGAAAATGAATGATAATAATAAATCTTCTGGTTTAAAAAGTTTCTTGTTTAAGAATTCCATTTGGTTGTTCTTTTAAGTTATGTGTCTCCAAAAATAGATGTGGGAGAGATGTGCCCTCTTGTTTCATATATTGGCCCCAAATTTTTGTCCCAGGCAAAGTAATACAGTGATTATCCCTCAAATACATCTTTCTAGGGACAGTGTATGCTGTAAAGCAGAATACTTCATTTAATGTCATGACACTTATAAGTGACTGAGCAATGACATGTCAGGGATTCAAGATTGTCTGGAAAACATAAGAATTCCTTCTTTAGGTAAAAGCTGGTGTAACTATAACAGGTCCGTTGCCTGATGCCTGCAGCACATCAATGCTCTGAGACACTGGGTTGCCACAGAGAAAGAGGTTTATTTTAGGACCACTGAACGAATAAATGGGAGGAACCCACAAAGCCATTTTCTTGAAGAGTTTGGAGCTGGGGTTATTAGAGTTTTGGAGTGGGCCAAAATGTGGAAATCCTTGACTGGTTGAAGAGTGCAGGGCAAAGTCATGAAACAGGGAGATAAAGAAATTATACTTATGCTGATTCTGTTCTTTGGTGAGGATCTTCAAACTGGTTGGCATCAAATGTTTCAGGATCTGAATAAAATCTTAAGCAATTCTTAAACAAAAGCCTTATGATTCTAATGTCAGAGATCCTGTCTATAGAAACAATGGGAATGCAAATTACTTCTTAAACACTCTTATACTCCTAATGTCAGAAATCTTATCTATAGGAACAATAAGGATGCAAATGGTCATTATCTAGTGCTATGCAACTTTTAGCAACAAGAAAGTGGGTCAAAGTGTAGCCTGATTAATGCTTAATTATAACTATGTTTCTGTCCAGAATTCTTGTTAACCCTGTGAGGATGGTTTCACTGGTACACTCTATGAGAAATATCTCGGTGTTTATAGGCAGTGATGCTAAAAATGGAATACAGGACACTATGAAATTCTATTTTTGTTTCAGTCTTTGTACCTTAATTTCTTGAATAATATATGTCTTCATGATTTTAAAAACCATAGTGTGCCCTGGACCAGAATAGGGAGACAGAAAAACTGAAATAAATGAGGTTCATTTTTGTAAACGGAGAGATGTCTGGGTTGGGCATTTGAAGTAAAGGAAAGCAGAGACAAGGAAGTCTATGGACATGTTCAAAACAATCATTCAGTTTTGAGCACACTATGATAGAAGTAGTATAGTGATAGCATTATAGTGCTAGTAGAAGACAATAACTTGCAACCATAAATAAATCATGTTATAATTACACTGAATGTCAGGATTTTATTTTATAACTGGCAGGTGATCTTCAATGCTATGCATGTCTTCTTATGGCAATGTATAGACAAATAATTTAACTAGGAGGAAAGGGACATGCAAGATCTTGCAAGCCAGGACTACAAAGAATAAATCTGTGGTAAAATAACACACAGAGAAGGATACTGTTATAAGAACAGCATCAGTGCAATTTCGAATTCATAAAGGCCAAAGGTGTATAACATGCAAGGTATCCAGGAGGTCTTTGTAGAAGTCAGAATATGTTGTGAGGAGTCACAGAGGGTGGAATTTTCAGGATTACACTGAACACTAGGTCATAAGGAATAAAACTGAAGAACTATGCCTCATGAGCAGGCTCCATGTACAGGAAAGCATGGCAAAGACAGACCAAATTCAGTAAAAGCAGGAGCAAATATGTAATTGCAGTCAAAATGTGATTAAACATCAGAAGCACCATATTAGTTCCCAATATGTGTTATGTTATGGTCAACAAGTCCTTTCAGACATAGAAAAACACACAAATACATCACACAAATGCATTAATACTGTTACATGTTAAGACATAGGAATGGCTCTGTGACAACTTGCAAATCTCAGGGAACTGGGAATGAGTGTGGATGAGACTTGAAAGCATGACACAGGAAATCAGCACACGGACAAAGCACTCTCTAACTTTTGTAAGAAGTTTCTGTGGGGAATTGGTTCTTGGTCAACTAGAAGCATAATGTGCTAATCGTATTTGCTTTCACATGTGTTTTGTCTTCAACTTTAGTGTTTAGTGGCTCATGTTTCTGTTCTGTAGATACATGGTGCCTGTTTAGCTCTTCTCCCTCCATCATGGGTTTTAAGTACTACCTCATAAGGGTGGGTTATTATCAAAAGCTAGGTCACTATACCATATGCTATTTGAACTGTCACAGAGTTCCTCAGATATTTTTCTTTAATGAATTTTGGGAGGAATTGGCAACAAACTTAATTTAGGAATTCAAATGAAAAGAACAGAGATTCTTAAAAATTATAGTAAAATATATATTCACTATATGATGGGGAGGGGCAAACTATGCTATGAGGCAAGGGGCAGTTTGGGTATGCACAAAGATGCATAGGTAGGAAGGATAGAGCCCTCTTTTTGGATGTCACAATAGTCCCGGAGAGAAACAAATCCAAAGATAGTAGAAAAGGAGAAATAACAATTCAGGTGAAAATAAAAACAGCATACAATTTTAAATATTTTAAAGAATAATTATATTAGAGATCTTATTCCAGACTAGTTTAAGGTAGTTATATGCTCGTGTCAATGAAGGAGGACTTTTATTGTAGGGTTGACTGTTAGATTGTAAGGTACTTAATGTCATGGACTGTTTATCATCAATATTTTCCTATCCCATGTGCCTACTAGTGTGTTTCATATATAGTAAGTTTTTAATAAATGTTTGTTGAAAGGCATCCTCATGGGAATAAAACAATAGACTTGCTCATTGTTAGGTTGCACACTATAAGAAATAACATAATCAAAAATTATGCATCAGTATAATAAACTTTAATGTTTCTTCTTATAATATTCTCTTTACATACTAAGTTACTATGTATCCATTTCATTAAATTACATAAATAGAAACTAAAGCTATTCTTTATTGAGCACCAAACATTCTAGGCATTGAGCTAAGTTCTCTATATACATTATCTTATTTTTCACAATAGTTTCATAAAGTAAGCATTATTTTTATGTCTATTTCAAAAATGAGAAACTTAAGATTAAATATCATTATTAACTTGCTGAAGACCCGGGATTTAGACTCAAGATTTTATTGGGAACTTCAAATATTAACAAAATTCTATACAGTTTAATAAGGATGAACTTCCCCGCTATTCCAGTGGCTAGTCCCAGAAATGGCTTATTAAAGTTTAGCATTCTTTTCAAGGTGACACAGTAAGTAAGGAATTAAAATAAACATAGTTTACAACATAACATATGGAACATTGTCACTAGAATTATCTGATGAGTAGATTAATTATTATGGAAACTGTCATCCCAGTCTAAGCTGCTGGAAAGTTAGAGAAAACATATCAAACAAGTGTTTTCAGACACTGGTCAATTGGCAGTGTGAAATTGGGATCTATGAGAGAAAGAAATAAGGTGAGCTCTATGACTTCTTCAGCTACCCTATAGGAAGCTTCTAGGTAATTTGGAGGACAAGTAACAGTTTTAAAATAGGCTCCAGTGATCTCACTGAGTTAAGAAGACAGAAATGTGAGTTCAGAGGGGCTGAGTTGGCTAGAGTTTCAGTAGCAGACTATTAAAGAGGAAGAAGCAAAACCATGTTTTCTATGGTGGTTAACACATCCCTTGAACTTTGCGGAGTTCCCCTTGAATATTTGGTGGAATGCTGATCTGTGTATATGTGAGGAGAATTTCCAGAAGGATGAAGACAGAATCATTGGAAAGCAGTAACCCAAAAAATTCTAGGATCTCACGGAAGGCTATGGATAGTTTGCATCCCCCTGGCCAGGATAGAGAGTTCATAATCCATGGAGCATCCAATGGAGTTATCAGAAAATTATCACCATGATAGTAATGCTAAATATCCTTAAAATAAATATTTTTCTGAACTTGCCTTAACAAAGCTTAATATCAGCTCTTGAAAGGATTAAGTTGAATCCAAATTTCATTGTGACAGAACAAATGCAATACTCTTTAAAGAAATACAATATCCAGAACACAACAAAGTAAAATTAACAAAGGCCAGCATTAAATCAAAAATTGCCAGGAAAGGAGCAAAAAATATTACCTATAGCCAGAAGAAATAATCATTCAATAAAAAATAAACCCATGAATTATGGAGATGATGGAATTGACCAAAAATGACCTTAAAATTGCTATTATAATTATGTACTATATGCTTAAGAATATAGACAAAAACCTGAACCTGATGAGGGGAAAAGTGGAAGATTGATATGACACACATGGAACTATCAGTGATGTTAGTACAATATATGAAAAAGAAAAATAAATATATGGAACTAACTACATTTTAGATACTAGAGAAGAAAAGGGATGTTAATTTAAATACTTAGCAATACAAACAATCAAAAATAAAATACAGAGAGAATTAAGACTGAATAATAAGTAATGGAAAATGAATGTCCCTGAAATTGATGTCCCAAAAAGAGGGGAAAGGATATCTGAAAAAATAATGGCCAAAAAGTTTTGAAATTTAATGTAAACAATATAACCATATTTCCAAGAAGATCAATAAATCTCAAGCAGAATAAACTGAAAACACACACACACACACAAATGCGCATATACACACTCACACTACTCCACATTATAATCATATTGTTGACTCAGTATAAACAAAAAAATGTTAAAGGTAGAGGAGAAATTCACATTATGTACAGAGAAACAAAGATAAGTATGAGAGCATACTTACCATCAACTATGCACCTCAGAAGTACTAAAGAAAGAAAAAAAAAGTCCATATAGGATTATTTATCCAACAAAAATGTCTTTTGAAAACAAACATATAATAAATACATTTTTACACAAAAGCCGAGACACTTTTTGCCACCAGGCTAGAGCTATGAAAATTATTAAAATAAATGCTTCTAAAGGAAAAAATAACTGATAGTAATTTGGTTCTAAATGAAGTAAAGGAGAACATCAGAAATGGTAAGTGTGGTTAACATAAAAGATTGTTTTCTCATTTTAGTCTATTTAAAAGATAACTGAATGATTATAGCAGAAATTTTAACAATATATTTCACTGTTTGTAACATAAGTAGAAATAACGTATATAACAATAATACAAAGAACACAGGAGAGAATCCTAAGCATATTGTTATAACACCATATGTGAAGTTACATGACTTTATTTGAAGATAGACTGTGATAAGTGAAAAATACATATTTTGGATCCCAAGGTATTTGATAAAAATAAAACAGAGTAGTATATCAAGTAAGCTAATACTGCAGATAAAACAAAATCACAAAAATAATTATTAAAATCCAAAAGAAAGCAGAAAAATACAAAATATATAAAAAGGAAGTAAACAACCATAAATAGAAAGATGGTAGATTTGAACCAAATCATATCATTATTTACATTAAATATAAATTGTCTAAATACTCCAAATAAAATGCAGAGATTGTCATTTAGATAAGATAGTGTGACCCAACTATATGCTGTCTAAAAAAACCTTGTATTTTCCTATTATCTCAAGCATTTATTATTTATTTCTGTTATGAACATTCTAATTTCACTCTTTTAGTTATTTTGAAATGTACAATGTTATTGTTAATTATAGATGCCCTATTGTGCTACCGAACATTAAATCATATGTAAAGACAGGTTAAATGTAAAAGTATGAAAAACATGAAAACAGGAAGCTGTATCAGCATCAAAAGGAAGTTGTAGTGGCTATGTGATTGTAAGACCAAATTGACTTTAGAACACAGATTTCCAGGGGTAAAGATAGGTATTATATTAAAAAGCAAGTCATTTTATTAAGACATAACAATCTTAAATATTTATGCACCTGATTAGAGAGCTTCAAAAACATGAAACAAAAACTAATAGAACTGAAAAGGGAAATTGGAAAATCTATGGTAATAGTTGAAGACTACAACATTCCTGGCAGTTGACAGTACAATAGCTAATAGTGCAGGATATGTAAGACTTGAATAAAACTGCCAACTAGCTTGACCAAATTGACAGATGCAGAACACTCTATCCAATCACAGCACAACAAAGTTAGAACACATGCTATGCAATAAAACAAATCTTAATGCTTGTAAAAGGATTGAAATAATACAAAGTATGTTATCTTACCAAAAAAGTTATACAAAAAATCAGTAACAGTTCTTTTAATTGTAATGTTAGGGTGTCAATTTTGGATCTTTCCTGCTTTCTCTTGTGGGCATTTAGTGCTATAAATTTCCCTCTACACACTGCTTTGAATGTGTCCCAGAGATTCTGGTATGTTGTGTCTTTGTTCTCATTGGTTTCAAAGAACATCTTTATTTCTGCCTTCATTTCGTTGTGTACCCAGTAGTCAAACACATTCAAAAGCTAGCAGAAGGCAAGAAATAACTAAAATCAGAGCAGAACTGAAGGAAATAGAGACACAAAAAACCCTTCAAAAAATTAATGAATCCAGGAGCTGGTTTTTTGAAAAGATCAACAAAATTGATAGACCGCAAGCAAGACTAATAAAGAAGAAAAGAGAGAAGAATCAAATAGACACAATAAAAAATGATAAAGGGGATATCACCACCTATCCCACAGAAATACAAACTACCATCAGAGAATACTACAAACACCTCTACGCAAATAAACTAGAAAATCTAGAAGAAATGGATAAATTCCTTGACACATACACCCTCCCAAGACTAAACCAGGAAGAAGTTGAATCTCTGGATAGACCAATAACAGGCTCTGAAATTGTGGCAATAATCAGTAGCTTACCAACCAAAAAGAGTCCAGGACCAGATGGATTCACAGCCGAATTCTACCAGAGGTACAAGGAAGAACTGGTACCATTCCTTCTGAAACTATTCCAATCAATAGAAAAAGAGGGAATCCTCCCTAACTCATTTTATGAGGCCAGCATCATCCTGATACCAAAGCCTGGCAGAGACACAACAAAAAAAGAGAATTTTAGACCAATATCCCTGATGAACATTGATGCAAAAATCCTCAATAAAATACTGGCAAACCAAATCCAGCAGCACATCAAAAAGTTTAACCACCATGATCAAGTGGGCTTCATCCCTGGGATGCAAGGCTGGTTCAATATACACAAATCAATAAATGTAATCCAGCATATAAACAGAACCAAAGACAAAAACCACATGATTATCTCAATAGATGCAGAAAAGGCCTTTGACAAAATTCAACAATCCTTCATGCTAAAAATTCTCAATAAATTAGGTATTGATGGGACGTATCTCAAAATAATAAGAGCTATCTATGACAAACCCACAGCCAATATCATACTGAATGGGCAAAATCTGGAAGCATTCCCTTTGAAAACTGGCACAAGACAGGGATGCCCTCTCTCACCACTCCTATTCAACATAGTGTTGGAAGTTCTGGCCAGGGCAATTAGGCAGGAGAAGGAAATAAAGGGTATTCAATTAGGAAAAGAGGAAGTCAAATTGTCCCTGTTTGCAGATGACATGATTGTATATCGAGAAAACCCCATTGTCTCAGCCCAAAATCTCCTTAAGCTGATAAGCAACTTCAGCAAAGTCTCAGGATACAAAATCAATGTACAAAAATCACAAACATTCTTATACATCAATAACAGACAGAGAGCCAAATCATGACTGAACTCCCATTCACAATTGCTTCAAAGAGAATAAAATACCTAGGAATCCAACTTACAAGAGATGTGAAGGACCTCTTCAAGGAGAACTACAAACCACTGCTCAATGAAATAAAAGAGGATACAAACAAATGGAAGAACATTCCATGCTCATGGGTAGGAAGAATCAATATCGTGAAAATGGTCATACTGCCCAAGGTAATTTATAGATTCAATGCCATCCCCATCAAGCTACCAATGACTTTCTTCACAGAATTGGAAAAAACTACTTTAAAGTTCATAGGGAACCAAAAAAGAGCCTGCATCGCCAAGCCAATCCTAAGCCAAAAGAACAAAGCTGGAGGCATCACACTACCTGACTTCAAACTATACTACAAGGCTACAGTAACCAAAACAGCATGGTACTGGTACCAAAACAGAGATATAGATCAATGGAACAGAACAGAGCCCTCAGAAATAACGCCACATATCTACAACTATCTGATCTTTGACAAACCTGCGAAAAAACAAGCAATGGGGAAAGGATTCCCTATTTAATAAATGGTGCTGGGAAAACTGGCTAGCCATATGTAGAAAGTTGAAACTGGATCCCTTCCTTACACCTTATACAAAAATTAATTCAAGATGGATTAAAGACTTAAACGTTAGACCTAAAACCATAAAAACCCTAGAAGAAAACCTAGGCATTACCATTCAGGACATAGGCATGGGCAAGGACTTCATGTCTAAAACACCAAAAGCAATGGCAACAAAAGACAAAATTGACAAATGGGATCTAATTAAACTAAAGAGCTTCTGCACAGCAAAAGAAACTACCATCACAGTGAACCGGCAACCTGCAGAATGGGAGAAAATTTTTGCAATCTACCTATCTGACAAAGGGCTAATATCCAGAATCTACAATGAACTCAAACAAATTTACAAGAAAAAAACAACCTCATCAAAAAATGGCGAAGGATATGAACAGACACTTCTCAAAAGAAGACATTTATGCAGCCAACAGACACATGAAAAAATGCTTACCATCACTGGCCATCAGAGAAATGCAAATCAAAACCACAATGAGATACCATCTCACACCAGTTAGAATGGCAATCATTCAAAAGTCAGGAAACAACAGGTGCTGGAGAGGATGTGGAGAAATAGGAACACTTTTACACTGTTGGTGGGACTGTAAACTAGTTCAACCATTGTGGAAGTCAATGTGGCGATTCCTCAGGGATCTAGAACTAGAAATACCATTTGACCCAGCCATCCCGTTACTGGGTATATACCTAAAGGACTACAAATTATGCTGCTATAAAGACACATGCACACGTATGTTTATTGCGGCACTATTCACAATAGCAAAGACTTGGAACCAACCCAATGTCCAACAATGATAGACTGGATTAAGAAAATGTGGCACATATACACCATGAAATACTGTGCAGCCATAAAAAAGGATGTGTTCATGTCCTTTGTAGGGACATGGATGAAATTGGAAATCATCATTCTCAGTAACCTATCGCAAGAACAAAAAACCAAACACCGCATATTCTCACTCATAGGTGGGAATTGAACAATGAGAACCCATGGACACAGGAAGGGGAACATCACACTCTGGGGACTGTTGTGGGGTGGGGGGAGGGGGGAGGGACAGCTTTAGGAGATATACCTAATGCTAAATGAGGAGTTAATGGGTGCAGCACACCAGCATGGCACATGTATACATATGTAACTAACCTGCACACGGTGCACATGTACCCTAAAACTTAAAGCATAATAATAATAAAGTAAAAAAGAAAAAAAGAAAAAAGAAAAAAAATCAGTAACAGAAAGATACATAGGAAATCCACAAATAATTAGAAATTAAATGCTACAGTTCTAAATTACCCATTTGTGAAAGAATAAATCCCAATAAAAATGAAATGATATTTTGAAAAGATTAAGGTGAATACACCACATATTGAAATTTGGGGGTTACAGTGAAAGACATGCTTAGAGGGAAATTATAGTTTTAAATATTTATATTAGAAAAAAAGGTCTTGATTCAGTGATCTAGGTTTCCACCTTAAAAGCCTGGGAAAGATGAGCAATATAAAATGAAAATAAGGTGAAGAAAAGAATGATAAAAGGAGAAGCTGAAACAAACAAAACAGAAAATTCACATATGATACAAAAAGATTAATGAAAACAAAATATGATATTTGAAAACATTTATAAATTGATAAAAGTATCATGCTAAATTGACCCAAATAAAAAGAGAAGACAAAATTACTAGTGTCAACAATAAAGAGAGATGATCACTCCAGTTACTGTAGTCATTAAAAGAATGAAAAGAGGATATTATAAACAACTTCATGTCTGTAGACTTGTAAACATGACTGAAATGGATAAATTCCTTAAAGACACATCTACCAAAGCTCACTCAAGAAGAAATAGGTGATTTGAAAAGGACGTCATATATTCAAATATTGGATTCATAGTAAACTCTAAAAAGCAAACTCCAGACCCAGATAGCTTCACTGGTAAATTCTACTGAACATTTAAGATAAAAGTAATACCAATTCTGCACAAATTCTAGAAAATAGAACATAAGCAAAGCCTTCTTTACTCACTTTATGAAGAAAGCATTTCTCTGATCCCAGAACAAGACAAATATATTAAAGGAAAAAAAAACTAACCCCAAAATCAATTTGCCTCATGAATATTTATGCAAAAATCTAGTGAGTCCAGGAAGATAAAAAAGTAATAATAAATCATGATGAAGTGAGGTGTATATTAGAAATTCAATGTTGGTTTAACATTTGAAAATCAAAGGGTTTTGACATACTGACAGTATGTAAGTAAAATATACGATTTTCTAAGTAGATACAGAAAAAATTTACAGAAGTATAACAATGATTGATGATTTAAAAAAATTCTGCAAAGTACAGTAGAAGAGAACTTCCTCAAATTGATAGTGGGCATCTATTAAAAACCTACTTAGAGGCTGGGCACGGTGGCTCACGCCTGTAATCCCAGCACTTTGGGAGGCCGAGGCGGGTGGATCACAAGGTCAGGAGATCGAGACCGTTCTGACTAACACGGTGAAACCTCGTCTCTACTAAAAATACAAAAAATTAGCCAGGCGTGGTTGCGGGCGCCTGTAGTCCCAGCTACTCGGGAGGCTGAGGCAGGAGAATGGCGTGAACCCGGGAGGCGGAGCTTGCAGTGAGCCGTGATCGCGCCACTGCACTCCAGCCTGGACGACAGAGCTAGACTCTGTCTCAAAAAAAAAAAAAAAAAAGTCTATTCAGAAAAAAAAAAAAACAAAACTTGAAAATAGTTTTCCTCAAATTGATTTGTTTTCAAAAGTACTCAGTAATTAAAAGACAAGCATCCTGATTCAAAAGTGAATAAAAATTTCAACAGGTATCTCATAAAACAAAAGATACAAAATTTCAATTAGTACATGAAAAGATGCTCAATGTAACTGATCATTAATAAAATGCTCATTTAAATCATAGTAGATACCACTACATATCCACCAGAATGGCTAAAATTTAAGTACCACCTTTCAGCAATAGAAACTTCTGTATGTTTTTGCTGCAAATACAAAATGGAATAGCTATTTTGAAAACACTTTGGCATTGTCTTAGAAAGTGAAGATTATACTTATCAAGTAACTCAGCAATCTGACTTGTAGGTATTTTCTGTAAGAGAAAGGGAAACACATGTTCATGCAAAAATTTTTCACAAGTATTCATAACAGCTTTATTCATAATAGTAAAAACCTAGTAACAACCCAAATGTCCAACAACTGGTGAATGAATAAAAAAATTGTGACTCATCTATACAAAGGTATACTACTAAGCAATGAAAGGCAGGGTACTAGTGATACAACATGGATGGATCTTGAAAACATTATATTAATCAAAAGAAGACAGACTCAAATAAATATATAATTTATTATTTTGCTTACATAAAATGCTTAGAAATGCAAACACACAAATAACAAATCATCAGTTACCAGTGGCCAGGGTTGGAGTGAGGGGATTGACTGAGATGAGGCATAAAATAACTTGGCGGGAGTAATAAAAATGTTTAATGTCTTAATTGTGGTGGTAGTTACACAACTACTGTATTATATTTGTAAAAATTATTTGAATTGCACATTTTGATGCTTACATAGTTTGAGGTTTTACATTGAAGTTTTTAATACATCTTGAGTTAATTATTGTATATGGTGAAAGGAAAGGGTCCAGTTTCCATTTTCTGTGTACAGCTAGCCAGTTATCTCATGACCATTTATTGAAAAGGGAATCCTTTCCTCATGCTTGTTTTTGTCAGGTTTGTTGAAGATCAGATAGTTGTAAGTTTGTGGTCTTATTTCTGGGTTCTCTACTCTGTTCCATTGGTCTGTGTCTGTTCTTGTACCAGTACCATGCTGTTTTGGTTACTGTAGCCTTGTAGTATAGTTTGAAGACAGTTAACACAATGCCTCCAGCCTTGGTCTTTTTGCTTAGGATTGCCTTAGCTATTTGGGCTATTTTTTTGGTTCCACGTGAATTTTGAAATACTTCCCTCTAGTTCTGTGAAAAATGCCAATGGTAGTTTAATGGGAATAGCATTGAATCTATAAATTGCCTTGGACAGTATGGCCATTTTCATGATATTGATTCTTCTTATCCATGAGCATGGAATATTTTTCCATTTGTTTGTGTCATTTCTTATTTCTTTGAGCAGTGGTTTGTAGTTCTCCTTGTAGAAATCTTTCACTTCCTGTGTTAGCTGTTTTCCTAGGTATTTTATTCTTTTTGTGGCAATTGTGAATGAGAATTTATTAGTGATTTTGCTCTCAGCTTGACTATTGTTGGTGTACAGGAATGCTAGAGATTTTTGCACATTGATTTTGTATCCTGAGATTTTGCTGAAGTTGCTTATCAGCTTAAGAATCTTTTGGGCTGAGACAATGGGGTTTCTAGATATAGGATCATGTCATCTGCAAATAGGGACAGTTTGACCTCCTGTCTTCCTGTTTGAATGCCTTTTATTTCTTTCTCTTGCCCGATTGCCCCACCCAGAACCTCCAATACTATGTTGAATAGGAATGGTGAGAGAGGGTATCCTTGTCTCATGCCAGCTTTCAAGGGGAATAGTTCCAGCATTTGCCTATTCAGTATGATGTTGGCTGTGAATTGGTCATATATGGTTCTTATTATTTTGAGGTATGTTCCTTCAATACCTAGCTTATTAAGAGTTTTTAGGACAAAGGGATGTTGAATTTTACTGAAAGCCTTTTATGAATGTGTTGGGATAGTCATGTGGTTTTTGTCTTTAGACTTAAATGTAAAACCCAAAACTATTAAAACCCTGGAAGACGACCAAAGCAATAGCATTCAGGATGTAGGCAGAGACAAAGATTTCATGAAGAAAATGCCAAAAGAAATCGCAACAAAAGCAAAAATTGACAAAAGGAATCTAATAGTTAAAGAGCTTCTACACAGAAAAATAAACTATCAACAGAGTAAACAGACAGGCTACAGAATGGGGGAAAATATTTGTGAACTATGCATTGGACAAAGGTCTAATATCCAGCATCTATAAGGGACTTAAACTAATTCACAAGAAAAAGCAAACAACCCCATTAAAAAGTGGGCAAAGGACATGAACAGACACTTCTCAAAAGAAGACATTCATGCAGCCAACAATCATATTAAAAAATAACTCAACATCACTGATCATTAGAAAAATGCAAATCAAAACCACAGTGAGATACCATCTCTGACACTAATCAGAATGGCTATTATTAAAAAGTCAAAGAATAACAGATACTAGTGATGTTGTGGGGAAAAGTGAACACTTGTACACTGTTGGTGGGAATGTAAATTAGTTCAACCATTGAGGAAGACAGTGTGGCAATTCCTGAGAGACCTAAAGAAAGAAATACCATTCAATCCAGCAATCCCATTACTGAGTATATACCCAAAAGAATATAAGTAGTTCTATTATAAAGACACAGGCATGCGTATGTTCATTGCAGCAGGATTTACAATAGCAAAGACAAGGAATCAACTTAAATGTCCAACAATGATAGACTGAATAAAGAAAATGTGGTACATAAACACTATGGCATACTATGCAGCCATAAAAAAAGAATGAGATCATGTCCTTTTCAGGGACATGGATGAGCTGGAGGTTATTATCCTTAGCAAACTAATGCAGAAACAGAAAACCAAATATGGCATGTTCTCCCTTATAAGTGGTAGAGATGAGAACACATGGACACATAGAAGGGAATGACATACATTGGGTCTTATCAGAGGGTAGAAGGTGGGAGGAGGGAGAGGAACAGGAAAAATGGCTACTGGATACTAGGCCTAATATCTGGGTGATGAAATAATCTGTACAACAAATCCCCATGACACACATTTACCGATGTAATAAACCTGCATATCCTGCACATGTACCCCTGAACTTAAAAGTTAACAAAATGGTGTATTTCATTGTATGCAGATTGTATCTCAATAACTCTGATTAAAAATTAATGCAACAACTCCACAAACAAAAATGGGAAATAAAACAAGCTGGCAGGATGGTGTAATTTTTCAGAGCATAAGATCTAGAACCAAACTGTCTGGTTTGAAACTTGGCTGTTCCACTCACATGTAATGTAAACTTGGGCAAATTACTCTGCTTCTGTTTCCTTATTTATACTATAGGGATAATTATAATACCTGTCTTGCAGGGTTTTTGTCATCTATAGAAGTTAGTACATGTGAAACACATAGGGTCACACCCAGCACATAGGAAGTAAGGGCTCAGTGAATGAATATTCCCTGTTTCAGCTGTTGCTTCTGACTCTGCCACCAAATTAATGATGACATTAATCAGGTTATTCAAATTCTATTTCATTTTCTTCAACTTTAAGAATGCTGAGATTACATGGATCTCCATCACCTGTTCCACTTTCTGACACCCTAGAGTCTATAAAGACACGGAGTATTTTTTTTTTCATACTCTCTTAGAAGACATTCTTAGCAAAATTGGTTTAGAAAAGATTTCTTTAAAAAGCAAGAACACTTTGAAAATACTTGTTTGCCAAATAGAAAAAATTGTTAGTATTTGGCAAAACTCCCAGGATGATGTGTATCCTTTTGCCTGAAACAAACCATGTTTTATCACAGGGATAGACTTAACTATATTAAGTTCATCAAAAGTTGCTGTTTTGAGTTTCATCAGCAGCACACTCCTTTTGGTATAGCTTTGCTTTCATTTCTTATAAATCATGTAAAAATTGCTTTTCAAGATTGGTAAAACTTTGTGATTTGTTTAATGTAGTACAATTCATTAGGCCCACAAGTAGCCCCTGATGCAGACTTCTGAGGACGTCAAACTCATAAGCTTTTATCTCATCAGTATTTTTTCACTAGGTACGTTATCTCCCCCTTCACTTCATGATGCTGTCCTTGGTAATGTTGTGATGCTCAACTAGCTGGAGGCCACACGTATCAGGTACTAGAATCTTGGCAGATGTTTGAAAGGTTTACTAGTTTTCCTTATTAACTATGTCTACCTTAAATTGATTTATGATGGAACAAATTAACATCTAAGTGTGAAACGTCTGAGCACTCAAGAACTATAGCCATCAGCTACTATATAGAATTGAGGTGGAAGGTGTGTTTCTTTGGAAATTTTGTCAAAGGAATTTTAGTTTCCTAATAGGAAGAAAGGGATGTGCTTCAAGAAGTCATTTATACAGCCAACAGACACATGAAAAAATGCTCATCATCACTGGCCATCAGAGAAATGCAAATCAAAACCACAATGAGATCCCATCTCACACCAGTTAGAATGGCGATCATTAAAAAGTCAGAAAACAACAGATGCTGGAGAGGATGTGGAGAAATAGGAACACTTTTACCCTGCTGGTGGGACTGTAAACTATTTCAATCATTGTGGAAGACAGTGTGGCAATTCTTCAAGGATCTAGAACTAGAAATACCATTTGACCCAGCCATCCCATTACTGGGTATACACCCAAAGGATTATAAATCATGCTGCTATAAAGACACATGCACACATATGTTTATTGTGCACTATTCACAATAGCAAAGACTTGGAACCAACCCAAATGTCCATCAATGATAGACTGGTTAAGAAAATGTGGCACATATACACCATGGAATACTATGCAGCCATAAAAAAGGATGAGTTCATGTCCTTTGTAGGGACATGGATGAAGCTGGAAACCATCATTCTGAGCAAACTATCACAAGGAGAGAAAACCAAACACTGCATGTTCTCACTCATAGGTTGGAACTGAACAATGAGAATACCTGGACACAGGGTGGGGAACATCACACATCGGGGCCTGTCGTGGGGTGGGGGGAGGGGGAAGGGATAGCATTAGGAGATATACCTAATATAAATGATGAGTTAATGGGTGCAGCACACCAACATGGCACATGTATACATACGCAACAAACCTGCATGTTGTGCACATGTACCCTAGAACTTAAAGTATAATAAAAAAATTTAAAAATTAAAAAAAAGAATTTAGCCAACTTGAAGTTCATATTTATAACTCACACGTTTTCCTGCCGTAATAAATCACAATGCTTGCTTTTCAAATCTTTGCAAAGATACGTCAAGATTAATATCAATTAATGAAATTTCCTGACATATTCTGGGATTCTCTCTATGAAAAGTACTGATGATTTATTGCATATTTAGTAAACAATAAACCTTACATCTGTCATGTTCTTGCTAAAACTATTTCCCCTCTGATAATTGTGTGAGAGGAGAGAAGTATGATTACACTTCTTGTCAGAATTTCCTTGAAAAGTGTTTTATGCAAAGGCAACCAAGCTCTTCAGCATAATTCATTCACAGGTCCACAGCCAATGTAGTGCTTACGGGTATTCCTGGATGCCATTGTGCACTTAACCTCCCTGAAGATGAAAACCCCTATGGTTGCTCACTCTCAAGACTCCAGGAGCCTCTCTCAGTTTGGAATAATGGCTCTCTGGTATTAAGCTTGTGTGTTTTATCTCATTTGAGCTGTTCACATCTTACCTGTGCTTTGAGGTAATATCCTTCCCCTGGAGGCAATGCTGCTTTAATAGTGGAGTCATTCAGAAGAGTAAAGACTTACCCTTTCATCCCAAGGCTTCCATTATTCATCATATTAAATGGAGAGCATAGAAGTATTCCTATTGTATTTGACTACATGTGATAGTAGAATTTCAGTTCAAACTCACCTCTACCATCTTCAAGAAATTGAGAGAATTAATTTTAATTAGTCATAATTTAAAGAACAGTTTGGACGTTCCTCAAAAAACTAAAGATTGAGCTACCATGTAATCCAGCCATCCAACTGCTGGGTATATACCCAAAAGAAAGGAAATCAGTATACTGAAGACATATCTTCACTCCTGCATCAAAAATTAATTACTGAGCACATCTTGCATACATGTGATTTTTCTGGAAACTGAAACTTAGTGACACTTCAGTCAAAGAGGAGATATAGTTAAAGGCACTTCAAAACAATTAAAGAAAAATCTAGGGTAGAAAATGCAGCTGCACTGCAAATTTTACACAATCAATTTAATGGGTAGAAAAGTGCAGCACCTTTGTTTTCTTTATGTTGTAACTAATCTGGGTCCAAGCCGCAACCTGCTTCTTTTGTGGTGGAACACACACACACACACACACACACACACACACACACACACACGTACATAAACACATTTATTGTATATATGTGTATATATGTGTGTATGTATATATGTGTATGCATAATTTGTTTTAAACTTATCTAATTTAAATAAGCTATGCAGTCATTTTAGGTAATACTCTAAGCCCCATTTTAGTTAAACTATTTCAGTCTCTCAGCTCCTTCTGCTCCTAGCTCTTCTCCTTAAAACCGAATCCTGCCTAAGCATCTTCACAGAGGCAGAGTGGGTGTGTTTTTGGGGTAATGGCCTCTCCCTCTTCTGATACATGGTGCAATACCCACTTGGCAACAGCCCTTGGTGGAGATCAAGGAAGACATTGAAATGAATTCAAGGTGCAATTTTCATTGATTGCATTAGCATGGAGGACGAATTTAGAAGCACATTTGCTGAACTAGAAAAAGCCAAAGATGGTACCCAAAAATGGTATGAACCTAATTCCAGGATTCCAGGCTACAGTGACCAGAATAATGCGTCTCTTTTCCCTACAACAAAAGAACCAAACCATGAACTAATCAGAGTTCTCTCTTCTACTGTCTTCTTTCATCTTCTCTCTGTTCTGAATTTATTCAAAGGTTACACCTCCTGACATCCAATTCAAAAATATATAGTGGGAAACTAGAAGAGATTGTTCACATTCAAATATGTTTGATTGCCTGAGAAACAGCAGTATGAACAGGTACAGACTTTTTTTTTAAAGGCATTGGATGTAGTGCACGCTGCAGAGTGTAATGTTTCATGTTCTTCACTCTTCAAAAAAAGAATTGCATCTGCATTACTTTCTACTGTATAGGAACCTGAAATTTTAAAGCAGGAGATGGTCCAGAATCTCTTGAGCACAGTCTCACTAAGTGTCTTATTTCTCTCACCAAGTATGCCACTTCTGGACATTCCACATTGACCCTGGTGGCATGCATCTCAATCTGAACTTCAGGTTTAAGTCTCAGAAAGCTTACATTATTAGCATCAACATTCAGTTCACTTTGACTGAGTTTGAAGCTGTGGGAACCTGTCTTAAATATTAACGAAAAGGATGTTGAAGGAGAAAAACTCAGAGTTCTAAAAATCAAATAAATGTGGATTATAATGGGAAAGTTATAATAAAAATAAAGACTAAGCCTGAAAAGAGTTGGCTAAACTGTTAAAAGTGTGGAACAGATATAAGTTAAATCAATTTTCATATATCGATTATTTCAGAATTTAAAAGAGAGATAAAACCATGTAAAATACATGTTTTATTTTTCTGAATTTCTATTTATTTAAAAAATAGAATGATAAATAAAATTTCTCTGGTAATAAATACATTGAGTTCACATTATAAGATACTGAAGGAATCTCTTAACCCCACATCTATGCATGTATGGAAATTTTATGCTAGAACATATTGTAAACAAAATAGAGTTCTAGTTTCTAGTTGGATGCTGTGGTTAGCTATATATATTACTTTAATCAAGTTGCTTTACCCCTCTGAGCTAGCTCTAGTGTGGTCATGTGGGAATGGGCTAGCTGTCATTGCAAATCTCCAATGAGATGGCTTCACCTCTTCAGGTATGTGAATGATACTTGTAGTATATATATTTTTTCTCAAGTATATGAAAAAAAGTTCCTATAGACTTCAAAAGGGCAAACAGGAAATTAAAAGTTGGCAGTCTGCATCCTAAAATTTTATTTAAAAAGAATTTCTGGATAAGAATCACAGTTCTGAAAAGGTAGGACAATTGTTAGCAAGCCATGCATCTTTCCATTATCTTGATATCTTTCTTATGAGTAGTCATTTATTTGAATTAGGGTAGAGTAAAATGCTCTAATATGAAATGTAGAGCCCAACCTAATGTTTTTGATATTCACCCTTATTGTTACTAAGAACTGAAAAAAAAGAAAAACAGAAAAACCTCCTAGCATATGATTATCCAACCAAACTTTGCCACTAAGAGACTTGACAAGCTCTAGCATGGCTTCTAGCAGCCTAAGACTGTGTCCCTAGGATGACCTTTGTCCCCCTTAAAATATTTGCCTGATAAATCTCAATGCTGCCAGGAGAATTTAGGTCTTTTCAGTCAAAATAATTATGAAAGTTCAGAAGACACTGGGTTCTGTCCCCTGTTGCCATAGTTATTACTGAATAAAATTTGTCTTTACTGCTTTCCCTAGTATCCAGCTTTGTTTATCTTTGACGTTATATAAAGCAATATTTTTATGTTGCTGAATAGAATTTCACAGGCCTCTCAACCCCTCTTAGAGCAGTTTCTTTAGAAAGCTTGCATTTAGTTTGAGACCAGCCTGACCAACACGGAGAAACCCTGTCTCTACTAAAAATACAAAAAAAAAAAAAAAAAAAAGCTAGGCGTGGTGGCGCATGCCTGTAATCCCAAGCTATTCAGGAGGCTGAGGCAGGAGAATAGCTTGAACCTGGGAGGCGGAGGTTGCAGTGAACCAAAATTACGCCATTGCACTCCATCCTGGGCAACAAGAGTGAAACTCTGTCACAAAAAAAAAAAAAAAAAAGAAAGAAAGAAAAAAGAAAAAAAAGAAACCTTGCATTTATAAATTCTTTCTCTGCCCCTTTGAGATATGAATCTTTCAATGTTCAATACTATCCCCTCAAAACCTGAAAGCTATCTTTTTGAAGTGCAAACCTTTGAGGAGACAACTCTCTCACTCTTGATAACAGTTCTCATGGGAGGATAAGGTCCTAACTTTAGTGGGTGCCTTGCTCCAATTTGTATTACTGCCTCCTGTCATCCACATAGGAGAACCTTGTTTCTCTTCCAGATAAGCACCAATTAGCAAACCAGAGAGCTTAGTCACAAGGACCAAACTCCTCCTTAACACCCTTCAATGCTTTTTCTTTTAGTACACTCCACTCTTTAAAAATCTCCTGCCTTTTGTTTCAGTAAAGTTCAGGTGACACTAGGTTCTCTTCCCTATTGCCATAGTAATTACTGAATAAAATATGTCTTTACTGCTTTACCTAGTATCTAGCTTTGTTTATCTTTGACATTATATAAAGCAATATTTTTATGTTGCTGAAAGAATTTCATGAAAAGAATATGCCACCCTTTATTCATTCCACTTTTAATTAGCTTTTAACTAAACCTCTTTATGAAACAGTTTTATACTGGACTAAGGCAATTTAGTTATGCACAACTATTAGGTTGTGGTAAATATTGGTAACATCCAATAGTTAGATATAGAAAAAGCTGTCTAACTCCTCTCCCCTGGGACCTCAGAACCAAGTGGTATGTTACAAGTCATGGATAATATTCTGCTACACATGCCACATTTATAGAGATGTAGGCATAATTTTGTTCTTCTATGCATTTCAATAAATGCTTTGCCTGAAATCTCTATGTAAGGTAGATGTGACACTATTTCAGAATCCTCAAAAAGTGACTGAACACATGAATCAGAAATAATCCTGTACTTAGGGTACCACTCTAAAAGGTATAGAATCTGGGCTTCTCCAGACCTCCTGTTCTGATTCATGCAAAGGCAGAAATATAGACAATATTCTAGCAAATCCACACATAATTAACAGCATTCTAGTAAGCAATTACAATTATTCCTTACGTTATACTAAGTAGCAAACCATCTGGAGTTGATCAAAAATAAAGTTAGTTGAAGGACACTTCTGGAGCCTGAATTTCGGAATAAACACTCTGAATGTTAACTAAGTAGGCCCTTTCGTGTATACTCTTGATTAGGGGCCACAACTGTCCACTAATGATATTCAGAGGGTAGACTGAAAAACAGCACACATACATCATATATATATATATATATATATATATATACACACACACACACACATACACACATATATACGTATATATATACGTATATATATACGTATATATACGTATATATACGTATATATATACGTATATATATACGTATATATATAGGTATATATGTGTATATATATACGTATATATATATCCCAATCCATATTTAAAGAAAATTGTAGATAATATTAAGAATTTTATTTCAAACACCCAAGTCCAACTTGCTCAAACAGAACTAATCCCTACATTAAAGAGTTAGCCCAAGGAGGCTGCTTTTCTTGACAGATTGGAGCATACCCATGGCTCTTCATTTGGCTGACCCTGTCCTAGCTTCTCAGCCCTGGGCCATCTGTGACGTTTAACTCTCTTTAAAGAATCAAAAGTTGGGAGAAAGAAAGCAAAATTTCATCGCTTATTGTAGCATATTGTTGAACTCAAGCCCCTGACAGTTAACTCGGAAAAGAACGGAAACATTTCTTTTACTCATTAGCTATTGTCACAAGACATATCGTCAAAAAAATTTATTTCACCAAATCTGAAGTTGGATAGTGCAGTTGACACACCTGGGAGTCAGATGATCTAGGCTGGGCTTGGCTGACTCAGCTCTATGCCACATGCCTCATTTGGGGCTGAGGCTGAATGTGCAACAGCTGGTGAAAACTCTTCTCATAGTGACGCCTGAGGTGGAAAAGGGCAAGCAGAAACATGTGGGGCCTTTAAGGCCTAGATTTGGAACTCAGCTCTTGGTCAATTTTACCGACATGCAATAGACCAAAGCAACTCAGCGGGCCAAGCCAAAGTCAAGGGGCTTGGAGGGGCAGTGGGCCCTTGATGAAGCCACTGCAGGGAGGTAGACGCATGGAGGGCTGCAGCACTTAAGCCTGTCATTCAGCATATCAGGCTCCCCACAAACCAAATCATCGTCCTACCATTAACTGAATTAAATATTTCCCTTGTCATTATACCTATCAAAGCAGTATTGACAAAATGATACTAACTCCAGGTAGTTAGTGTCAGAATTGTATTGCAGTACATCCACTTGGGGGTCTAAACAGCACAGAGGATTTACAGTTTTATCCTGCATATAGAAAATGAAAAAAGTCTATATTATTATGCAAAATTTATGTATGTAAATAACTCCATTAGCATTAGCAACATCAAATGTATAGTAAGATTTATATACCTTTTCTGTCTCATATTCAGGAGCAGGGCTACTTTCATATATGATGAAAAGTTTTCTGGCAGCTAACCTTCAACTTCAGTCAAAATGTGGACCAAAATAACAGCAAAAGGACTTTCACTGCTGTGTAGAAACATTGCATTTCTCTATTAATTTTTTAAATGAACAGAATTGATGATCCAGATGATTTCTACCCAATAAGTGTTTTGGTTACCATTAAACTGTATGGCAAATACTCATGAAATATGCTGATGACTGGAAAACATCCATGAAGAAGGTTCACTCTGAGCATGTTGGGCTTTATGAGGAGCAATTAACTTTGGCTTTGTACTCTGCTAAACCCACAGAGTCTTGGCAGACCTCTTAGGAGCGGCCTGGACATACCCAGTAGCCTTCAGATCCAGCAAGCATGTCTTACTTCCACTTTAGCCAGGTGCCTTCCAGAGTTAAAGCAGGGATCTTGTTCCTTGAAATTTATGATTCCTACTATGAGACTTACCCTCTATTTTTTCTATTGTTTTGTAGAATATATCAAATGATTGGTTGAATCAATAGGCTGGAATTATCAATTCTAAAAGGCAGTGGCATTTCAGGAAAAATGATTGTCAGAGAATTAGTCTTGGACATAATTGGGAAGTGGAAATTTAGAATTCAGTTCTTTCTGCATTTCCTTCCCTGCTCTATCTTCTCAATACAGAAGTCCCAAGATGTGAGGTCCTCAACAATCTCCCCAAATAACACAATCTCACAGCCTATAATTTTCCCTTCACTCTTCTCACCCATCCACTCACACATTGCATTTGTCCCTGTTTCTCTGTCATAGAGAAAAACTCTCTTGATGTACTAAATGACAAGAAAATGCTTCTTACCTGTCATCAGAAAGTGTTTTCAAACTAAATGCTGCCTTCTGGGCTAACGGGAGGGAGGGATGGAGGGCCTGTGTGAGACTGTCTCCTCTAAGTCAGAGCTTATCAAGTAATATTATCCATCAAAATCACCTGGAGGACAGGTGAAAAGAGATTTCTGGAACCTGCCCCAATATCTTCTGGTTTAGTATGTTTAAGGTGGGCCTCAGGGGCTGCAGTTCTAACAAGCTCCCAGGTGATGTTGCTGATGCTGCTGCTTTAGGGACCCAAGCTTGAGAACCACTGCTTTGAATCAAACAACCTGAGACACTTCCTGATTCATCTAGGGATCCAAATGGCAGAGTAAGTAAGATGTTATTCCCCTTTCATTGTGAGAATCATAAACTTTTATGGGAAGAAAAGTATAGAATTTGGAAGATATATTTGGCATCTGCTTTGCCACTTGCTGGCAGTGTTGTCTTAGAGAATTTCTTTAAAATCTTTAAGCCTCTTTTTGCTTGCTTAAAAGAAGAAAATAAATCCAGGGTCTGAAGTTTATTATGTGGCTCAAAATATAACATATGTGTAAAGGTGCCTGGTAAATTATCAAGTGCTCTACAAATGGTATAATTGCTCTGAAATAAGGGGTTGCCCCCAAGGGAGCTATCAAAAGTGAAATAACAGAAGACCAAGCACGTTTTCTTAAAACTGGAGCTACCTCTGTTCCTTTTGCCACCTACAAATCTAGTTTCACCAAAATTATCCTTTCATATATATAAAAGAAATGCTGTAGTAAGTTTTGACAGGAGGCTATTTCCTGAAGAGGCACACACACAGTGCAGAGCTCATCTTCTACAAAGGGAAACATTCTGGCATCCTACATATTCCAGGAGCAACTGTTGTGGAAAATCCATTAGAAGCAACACCAGTTCAATCTTAGAGCAAATACATTCAGAAAACATCAAAATAAAGTTACATGAACCTAAGTCATTTAATATATACCATTCCGTTAATCTGTCTCATCTCTCACATGGCACTTAATAATTGGGGAAAATATTCCTTGTGATTATAACACACATCGCTATGTATTTCATTTATTCCACTAAAATCCTATTTCAACAATCTCTATACCCTAGTTCCTGAAAATATCAGTTCCCGAAGGACTTAGACCAAGATCCAGGAACAGCTGGGAGGAGCCATTGTACTGTCCTCATAACAATTCTCACACCCAGGAGTGAAGGCAGGAACAGATGGTGGGTGTCTCCACAGCAAACACTTCTAATGCCTTGGAAATATTTGAAGGCAGCAGCCCTTACAGAATGCATAAGAGCTGCATACCGCAGGATGGCTTTTTTTCATTAACGTTCAGCATCTCTCTTTCACTAACATAGGAGCAAGTGAACAATCAGGGGCTGAATGAAGGGACACAGAATCCCAGGCAAAGCCAAAAAGAACTGAGAGGCGAAGGCGATAGTGACCCCAACACATTTGATGCCACTGTTCCCCCTGCCCACCCAGTTCCTGTTGAAAGACAAAATGAAATTATATATCTACACCTGCATAAGGAAAGTTCAGAAAATAAAGTAAGGCAAGGAGAAAGCTGCAGCCTTGATTTATGTATATTTCCTCATCAGCACCTCACCTCACCCTGTGGCATTCCCATGCTGTAGCTTTAAAAGTGTAATCTCTCATCAAAGGGGACAACACAAAGCCTCTGGGGCAAATCAGTAATAAATGCCTGTGAATGTGACCTTATTTGGAAATAGGGCCTTTGCAGATGTTCAAGTTAACATGAGATGGAGTCTTGCTCTGTCGCCCAGGCTGGAGTGTAGTGGCTCCATCTCGGCTCACTGCAACATCCCGGTTTCGTGTTCAAGTGATTCTCCTGCCTGCCTCAGCCTTCCAAGTAGTTGGGCTTACAGGTGGGCACCACCACGCTGGGCTAATTTTTTGTATTTTCAGTAGAGATGGGGTTTCGCCATGTTGGCAAGGCTGGTCTCGAACTCCTGACCTCAGGTGATCCACCCACCTTGGCCTCCCAAATTGCTGGGATTACAGGCATGAGCCACTGCACCCGGCCATACTTATTTTTTTTAAAAAAGGAAAATCAGACAGAGAGACAGACACAGACACAGGAAGAATCCATGTAAAGATGAAGGCAGAGATGGGGGTGATGAATCTACAAGCTAAGGAATGCTGTAGATTGCCAGCAAACCACCAGAAGCCAAGAGAGAGGCACAGAACAGATTCTTCCTCATAACCCCGACAAGAAAGCAATCCTGCCAACTCCTTAATCTTCGTTCTAGCCTACCTGACTGTAAGACACTATAATTGTGTTGTTTAAGCCACCCAGTTTGTGATACTTTGTTACAGCATCCCTAGGAAACCAATAGAGTGACCAAGGGCAGGATAGCCTTACACAGCCAGTAAGGTTGGCAGAGTGGGAGTTGGGGGTGATGCTATCCATGGTTGCTTCCCTGTCTTGACCCTCTTTTTTTCCTCCTGAAGGTCCAATGTGTTTCAGAGTTGGTCCTTCTACTCCTATCACTGCCACCCTGCTCTCTATTTGCAAATTTGTTTGTAAATTCCTTCTGTCTATAACACTTCATTAGAGGATATGGGGAGCATGCAAAGTAACGGACATAATGTCCTTATGCCTTGAGTTGATTCATCAAGTCAACAACTAGTTTGGGGGCATCTACTATGTGAAAGCCACTCTCTTAGGTGTTGGGCACACATCATTGAACAGAACAGAAAAAAAAAAACACTCCTGTCCTCACTATAGTTTTCATTCTGCTAGATTTATAACCTGAAATTAAATCCAATTCTTAAATCCTACTTTTGCACCAAATTACAAGAGTGTAATGTGTTTCTTTTCAAGAGGAATAAAGACTATTTGAGCCAATATTTCTCAAAGTACCTTCCAAGGATCACCTTCATCAGAATCTCTTACCCAACCATGCCTGTCAAAATACGGATTAATGGGCTCCACAGCAGGCCCACTCAATTAATGCCTATGAAGATAGGACTCAGGAACCTTAACATTGTTAACATGAATGCCTCTAAACTTTGAGAAGATCAATTAAACTAAAGGGACTTGAAATAGAAATAGTAGAGATTCAGGTGATTTTTTGCAAGCTAAACTTTGAGACCTGCTGCTCAATGAAAGAGATAAGCTCAAATGGTAGGGTTGCAGGGAGTAGCTATGGCAGTGTTTTGTAAACATCCCGATAAAATCACCAAAGTTACCTGTTAATAATGGAGCTTCCCAGATGCATTTCATACAGATTCTGATCCAGTGGGTCAGGGGTGGGCAAAAAGTGACTGTTAGGTTAGCAACAAATTTAGGAAACACACAGCTTTAGAATAAAAGTGGCAATCCAGGAAATCAGAACTGTTCCACACTCAGGGAAAACTCTTCAGGAGACATCCACTCTTATTCCCCGCCCCCCACCCAATTTAGTGACTATTTTCCTAATATGGATTTGCCCCTTTTTGCTTGGTATATCAATAAAGCTCAACTGTGTGAGCCCAGGGCACAAAGAAAGAAGCTTTCATCATAAGACTCATCAGTGTTTATACCTATTACTCTGGCTACTCTTCTGCTAGATCATTAGATCTTCAAGGGTGGGGACTAATGTTGTCAACTCAGGAACCATCTAGGGCCTCTTCTCAGTAGGTGCTTAATAAATATTTACTCAATATTAGCCTGATTAATAGTATTCTGAGGGCTAAAAAGTGTTTGAATCTAATCTAAACCACATATCGCCATCCTCCTCTGGCTCTGCAGTCAATATTTCACTTTGCAGTAAATTAAGCACCAAGTGCTTTGTGGAACACCCTGTAACACCTATTGATTCTCCCTAATGTCTCCTCTGCTCCTTTGATTTGACAGACAAGCATAGAGTACAGTAAGGTGGGCTGATCAATGGCGATCAAAGTTGAACTTGAAAGAAATTGTACCTTTCAATTTTTTTCTCTGCTGACATCAGGCTGGTTATTGCCCCTATGCTGTAGCATTTTAGCGCACAGTTTTAAGCAAATGCATTTATTTTTACTTTTTTGATATTTGAAAAAAGTC
The DNA here is from genome assembly GCF_000001405.40 of Homo sapiens. Classification (NCBI taxonomy): domain Eukaryota; kingdom Metazoa; phylum Chordata; class Mammalia; order Primates; family Hominidae; genus Homo; species Homo sapiens. Next base: position 36,578,398 of record NC_000023.11, on the reverse strand, counting down.
AGTAAGTGTTTCATTTCAATTTTATCAGTTGAGCACACTGAAGCTTGAAACTATGCATCCTAAATAAATTTGAGGAAAAGATATAGGGTAAAGAGCTGATTTAAATATGTCAGGTAATTAATAAAAAATGCTGCTATGGTTTGAATGTGTCCTACAAAAAGCATATGTTGGAAATTTAACCCCTGATATGCTTTGGATGTTTGTTTCCTCCAAATATCATGTTGAAATGTAATCCCTAATGTTGGAGTTCGGGCCTGATGGGAGGCATTTGAGTCACTGGGGCAGATCCCTCATGAATATTTTGGTGCCTTCCTCACAGTAATAAGTTCTTGCTCTGTGTTCACATGAGATCTGGTTTTTTAAAAGAGTGTGGCACTTCCTCCCTCTCTCTCTCTCTCTCTTGCTCACTCTCTCACCATGTGACATCACTTGCTGTCACTTCACCTTCTACCATGATTGTAAGCTTCCTGAGGAGGTGAGGAGGACTCACCAGTAGCAGATGCCAGTGCTATCCTTTTGTTTGTTTGTTTGTTTGTTTGTTTTTAGACAGTGTTTTGCTCTTACCACTCAGGCTGGAGTGCAATGGCACGGTCTTGACTCACTGCAATCTCCGCTTCCTGGGCTCACGCGATTCTCCTGCCTCAGCCTCTCAAGTAGCTGGGATTATAGGCACCCACCACCACGCCCAGCTAATTTTTGTATTTTTAGTAGAGTGGGCCAAGCTAGTCTCGAACTCCTGACCTCAGGTGATCCGCCTGCCCCGGCCTCCCAAAGTGCAGGGATTACAGGCATGAACCACTGTGCCCGGCCCAGTGCCATCCTTTTTATACAGCCTGCATAACCCTTAGCCAGATAAACCTCTTTTTTTTTAATTAAATAACTTACTCTCAGCCTTGGGTACATCTTCATATTAGGTTTGTGCAAAAGTAATTGCGGTTTTTGCTGTTACTTTTAATGGCAAAAACCGCAATTACTTTTGCACCAACCTAATAGCAATGCAAACACACTAACACAATCCCCAAAACAAAGGTGTTGGGTAGTGTATTCTAATGGGAGGCATTTAGATCATGAGGGCTCCGCCCTCATAAATGAATTAATGCAGATTATAAAAAGGCTACAGGCTGTGAGTTTAAACCCCCTATCTCTCTCACCCTCTCCTGTCTTTCCACCTTCTGCCTTCTGCCATGGGATGACTCAGCAAAAAGGCCCTCACTACATGCCAGTACCTTGATATTGTACTCCCCAGCCTCCAGAATGATAAGTCTCAAATAAATTTTTGTTCATGATAAATTATCTACTGTCAGATATTTTGTTATAGCAGCACAAAGTGGCTGAAGACAAACACGAAAGCAATGTGTCTTAAAGATATTCTTTATAAAAAACTCTGATTTTTTTTTTCTGAGAAAAAGCCACAGCTGAGCATAAGGGAAGAGACAGTTTATGTAATAAGATAGTAATGTTTGGCCTATGAGGACAGCAGAAAGAGAACAGGATTTAGAGGCAGCCTTACCTATGAGAGGATACAGATTCTTACATGGAATAATCATGATACCTTGGGCAAGTCATCAACTCATTAACAAAATGCCTCAAAAAGTTTTTTAAGCAAGCATTTGTGTGGATAAATGACACTTCTTGTTTTCTCCCTTTTAATTGAGGTGATAACAAAGGAATATTCAGAAAAAGAGTACTAAATGATAGACATTATGAGTTGTAAACTTGTCTATTAGCACAGAAAATACAGCTAATCTCAGTCATTTGCACTGAATTCTACTAAGGTGAGTAAACAAATTTCTATCCCGGTTTAAACTGGTTCAGCTATTAAAGTTATACATTCAAACAAAAGACAGAAGAAACGAGCAAAACAAAACAAAACACCTGTTTATTACACAAGAATTTTCCAAATAGGTTGTCATTGAATTTTGAATTTGAGTTTAATTTGCATTTATCTCATGTTATCTTTTGGAAAGTAGGTTGACATTTCCATAAATTATGAGTGTCCATAAATCAGGATTTCTAACATAGACTTTGAGGAGTTCATTAATTGCTACCCTAAAGGACTTTGTACCCTTTTGTAGAGACTTATCTTTTTCACACAGAAAAAATCATCAATGTGTTTAGCTGCAAAATGTATTTGAAACTGTTCCCACTGGGTTGACAAGAATTGCATGCTGGGTTCTGGACAGAAATATAGTTTTAATTAAACATTAATCAGGCTGCAGTTTGGTCCACTTCCTTGTTGCTAAAAGTCCTGCAGCACTAGATGCTGACCATTTACATCCCCATTATCCCTATAGATAGGATTTCTGACATTGGGGTCATAAGGCTTGAAGAATTGATCTGCATCCCCATTTTTCCTATAGATAGAATCTCTGACATTAGAATCATAAGGCTTTTGTTTAAAGATTGCTTAAGATGTTTATTAGGCCTAGAATTCTAGCAACCAGTTTGAAGAGCCCCGCAGAGGAACCGGATCAGCATGAGAATACAGTTTCTTCATCTCCCTGACCCATGACTTCACCCTGCACTCTTCAACCAATCAATGATCACCACACTTTAGCTCATTACAAAACCCTTAAACACCCTAGCCCCAAACTCCTCAGGGAGATGGATTTGAGGTTTCCTCCCATCTTCTCATTCAGTGATTCTGTGATTAAACCTCTTTCTCTGCTGCAACCGTTGTCTTGGTGTATTGACTTGCTGTGTGCATGCAGCAAAGAACCTATTAGAGTTGCATATTTAGATCTAGGGTTGGCAACAAAACATTGGTAAATCCAAGCCACATGCCAAAATCCAATTTGGCAGCCTGGATTATCCTGGTAAGGAGGGGCAATAAACAGACAAAGAAGTTGTTCAGAATCAAGCAGGAAATATGCTTCAGTCCAATAATATATTCCTGAATATGTTATCATTTGACAAAAGACTTATAACATAGTTCCCAACTTTCTCCGTTTCTGTCTTCTGCAACACATTGGTAATACAAAGCATGGGAAAGAGTGAATACTTATTTGAAAGATGAATAATTTCAAATGAGTTAAGACACAGGCTTCAAAGAATTCACATAAATTCTGAAAGTTCATGACGAAATTGAATGAATGTTTAGCTCTACTCTTTCCTCAGCAACTGTGATATACACTCCATCTTCATGTGTAAAACATTATAAGCAAGATGGTTTGATTTAGGAAGAACATTCGTTTTTCACAAATAGGTCACTGTGATTCTGAAGACTACATATACAAATATGAAGTCAAAGCATGTACCTGTAAAAGAAAAAAGCTTGAAAATTCCTGCTTGCTATTTATAATTTCTTGTTTGTTAATATAATAATAACAGAGTTTTTAAGAGTTAAAAATACCATCAAACATTAAATGGCCTTTTTTGCGTATGAATTCTCTATAAATAAGTAGGAAAGTGACAGAGTCAAACATTCTAATTGCCCCTTAGATAGAGGGCAAATAATTAAGAATTCTAACCCTTGAATCAGAAATCAAAAAATAGGTTGTATATTCCTTTATTAAGTACTATCATAAGGATATTTAGACTTATTTCCAACTCTGAATTTCCTTCCGACTGTGGATTTGTTGAATGTCTTACTGAGGCAGATATGGTTGTTGTTGATAGGGGTGGGGTCTGATTTCTTTGCAATTTGGAGAAGGCTCTGTGCCCATCAGGTTGCTGCCTGTACCACTTTCTTCAAACGAACCTGGGAAAAACTCTAACTAGGTAAATCCAAGGTGCAACCCAATAAAAAGTAACAGTGGTTGATGAGATTGTTATTTGATATGGTGGTTTCAGACCCTGTGCCCACTGACCTCTCATGCAGAATGGGCTAACATACCTCCCTTCTCCAGAAAGTTGCCCAATGTGTGAGCTCATGTGGCACATCCCAGCTTCATCATTGAAACCAGAAAAAGTTCTGGAAGGAAGTTCATAATAGCAAACAGAAGTTCATAAAATGACTATATCACAATTTTTTTTCTTTTTCTTCCCTTTCTTTTTCTTACCAGTGCAGAATGAGGAATTTGTCGATATAAGACACATAGGCTTTTTATGGTTTCTAAGGAAATTTGTGTGGGGTTTTGAGATAACAGGTAGAATTGAACTTTTCTGGGTTTTTAGATGCCTGCCCCTGAAAGCAAGTGCCAGCTGTCACATTCTATTTGCTGTCCCAGTAAAGTTTATTAGGTGTTCAATTAGAGGAAATTACTTTTGGAGCAACTTGTGCAAATTCATGAATGGCTGATGATACAGCCACCTGTTGAGAAATAATTTCCTACTGATCTCTCACATTTCTGCATGGCTTTTGAGTAGAGGCTCTGAGAGCTTTTGTTCTGGACTGTCTTTTCAAGGATGTCTGTATGAAGGAACAGGCTTGGGCAATAAAGATAGTTTCTCAGTCCTTAATCAGAAGATAAATTTGTTAGCTCTCCAGGATTATAAAGATAATGTCTCCCTTGAGGCAAAAATTGAGCATGTTTATCAGCAGTACCCTGTGAAGGATTCAGGTTTTTTAAGTGCAGGGCTGCTCAGCTGTGACACAGGCCCACCATATGTGCAGCAGCATCGACTGGACTTCTCCATATCAATTCTATGGGATTTGCAGGATAAGAAGAACAAATGTAAGTATGAAGCTCATGCTGCCTGCTGTGCTGTGTATAATAAAGATCTTTGTCTTCGACCCAGGGATATTGTATCTCTGCCAACATCCATGAAAATGTGGTAGGCCAACTTGTTAGCTTGCAAGTAGGGTAAAATCTCAGAACCTTGATAATTATTGACAAATATCTTTCTTGTAATTTTTCTTGTAACTATGAAACAAGCTGTCTTTTAAAAACTATTTTAAGGATATGCAGTACTTGTGAATGCAGTTGAATGAACAATTCCCATTCCTCCAGATTGAGATGGGTCCAGTGATTTGGGGAATCTGGCTGCTTAGTCTGTAGGTTATCTGGATGTGTTATTCTTCCTGTCAGCACCTTTTCCACATTGTCCACGATGCAGTCATGAGATTTAATTATAGTTTTTGATGAAAATAAGGTATTACACGTCTATACACTCTCCTTGATTTGTCAATCCTTGGTACTAACAATAAAGATTTTAGAATAATTACATCTTATAAATCTAATATCATCTCCTATTAGTACTATCTGTTTTTATAGCTATAACTCCACATCAATTTAATGTGCTCATGGTCATATACTCATACGCATAATTATAATTATATCATTCGAAGTAAATTATTTCAATTATATAGACATGTCTTCGTTTTGCTAGTTCCTTTGTTCCTGATGTGTGTGTGTGTGCATGTGTGTGTGTGTGTGTGTGTGTGTGTGTAAGGAAACCTGAAACATGTAGGTAGAAAACTTACACACCAAAGACATTAAAGTGTGAGACAAGCAGTGGGTTATCCTTCTAACTCTGAGATAAGCTGTTTGGATGACCTTGGCCAAGTCATTTTATCTCTCAGGATCTCTATCAACTCATTTGAAAGGGTTGGATAAAATTATTTTGAGAACAACTCTGTGATCTTATGAAACTATATCCTTTGTTGCTAAATATAATCACTGATATATTGATAATTCTTCAGAAATGCTATTCTAGATCAACTTCTGATATTTAAAATCTCTCTCTCTCTCTTTTTTTTTATTTTTTATTTTTGACTCAGAGTCTTGCTCTGTTCCCCAGGCTGGAGTGCAGTGGCCTGATCTCGGCTCACTGCAACCTCCGCCTCCGGGTTTCAAGTGATTCTCTTGCCTCAGCCTCCCGAGTAGCTGGGACTACAGGTGCGTGCCACCACGCCTGGGTAATTTTTTTGTATTTTTAGTGGAGACGGGGTTTCACCGTATTAGCCAGGATAGTCTCCATCTCCTGACCTCATGATCCGCCCACCTCGGCCTCCCAAAGTGCTGGGATTACAGGCGTGAGCCATCGTGCCCAACGTAAAATCTCTCTTTTTAGGCAATACATATATAATGAAGATGATAACACAAAGTGAAAAATATTGAAAAGTTGTCATAAACTCAAATATAATATAGGATTTCCCTAGCTCCTTTATGGATATTAGATTCTAATCTTTAAGTATGTTCTTTTATTGCCCTATTACCTCTAATAGGTGATATAAGGTATTTATTTGGTGATGAAGTATTTCCTTAAAGAGTGGAACACTATAATCTTCTCTATCACTGATTAAAATAGATAAGAATTTTATAGATCGGTTTAATTTAGTTTTTTCCTTGATAAATGAAAAACTTATTCCAGGCTGAGGGAGTGAAGGCAGATCTGTGCAGTTTTTGCTTCAATGTCTTTCTCTGGCACCAAGCTTTTGTGATGCTCCAACTCTCCCTTTCCATTTGGTGTGTAATGTGACCCCAGCACTGTGTCTCTTAAAAGGGCTTATTAGGCACTGATATATTGAGAATTCTTCAGAAATGCTATTCTAGATCAACTTCTGATATTTAAAATCTCTCTTTTTATGCAATGCATATATAATGAAGATGATAACACAAAGCAAAAGATTTTGAAAAGTTGCCCCTTCCCTACTGCTCAAAATATATTATATTTCCAAACACTTCTTAATGTCCTGGTTTATTGATGACCAAAGTGATTGTGAAGCCACGCATATAGCCCCAAGTCCATTTTTTTTCTGTGTTACTCATGTGTAGTAGCTGTAAGTGATGTTTCCATATTCAGCATCCATTCCTACTTCTTCTGGTTGGTGCTTTTCTATTTTCCTTTAAGGGACTATCCTGTTCCATATAATCATGCTACTTTGCTTTTCTCTGGACTATCTGTCTGCCTGCCTGCCTTCCTTCTTTCCTTCCTTTCTTCTTTTCTTTCCTGCATTCCTTCCTTTTGATATTAAAATAAACTAAAAATCCAAAAACATAGTCAAAACAGTTATAAAATAATAGTTATTATAAAAGGATAATTAATATGTCAGCATAAGATTTAATAGGATCTAATACACTACAACTTAATTATAAAAATTTGAGTTAATATATTTTGTTTCTATTACCACTTTTACATATTTTAATATTATGTTAAAATTTAAAATTTAATTAGACATTTATAAAATCCATAGCACAAAATGTAGAATCCAGTTGGCAAAGGGCTGATATTATGCCCTCCCTATCTTTCTAATTTACCTCAGGATCACAATGGTTCCTTGCTAAAACAATACCTAGCAACCAAGAGAGAGGCATACTGATATAGAAAATTGAAATATTTCATTTTTCCAAATAAAATTATAACTTGGTTTGGCTGATATTTATATATCAGAGACTATTATTTAATTTTTTTTTGCAGGGCAGCTAAGTTTCGCTTAAAGATATGGATCTTCACAAGTCATAATTTTATAAGCATGTGGGAGTTATTTATATCCTACTGCTCAAGGTTGTCGGCAAGGTCTGATTGCAAAAATTCAAAAAATTGCAACATCAGGCATAAATAGGTTAAGTCAGTAATAACAGACTGGCCAATATTGTTGGTCAGTAATAACAGACTGATCAATATTAATTCTTTTTGTAATGCCTTTTTCATTTTTGGCACCAAGGTGTAAAAGTAGTGATGCAGGCAATAATCCAACATAAAACATTAAATATTACAAGTAAAAACTTTTAACCTAGAGACATCTGTGTTAATACACCTAAAAATTATTATATTTCTAAATTTCCCTGAATTATCTGAGCCTGAAGAAGTGGCCCACTCCTAGCTGTTAATGGCTAGCACCACCCCTCTTTGAAGATGATTTGAAAGTTTCTCCCGTACAGCAATATGCGCTCACATTGCACCCCAGGATCTGCTCCTATCTTCTCTCTAGGATACTAAGACTTCACTAGGTTTAATTTACAACACAACCCATGCAAATATATAGAATATTTGATGAAGAAGAAAAGGGACCATATTATTAAAAAATCTAAAGAACCTAGCTAACGTATACCACCAGAAACCTTAAAAGTCAATATAGGACTGAAGATAAAGGATGCTGGATCAAGTGTGGATAGAATATAAAGTTAGAACATAGAAAGCTAATTGATTTGTTAGTACTCTTTTAGGATACGGGCTTTATTACCTTGGCAAGAGCACTCTATCCTGCGGACATACTGAAGTGTGGAAAAAGCAATAACTTTTACAATGGAGATGGAAACCTCACACATCACACTGCAGACTGTGAAGTAAGATATTAAAATTTTCATAATAGTAAGCATGCTAGAGTGGATTTGCTGTATAGTAGTCCTCCATTTTCCATGGTTTTAGTTACCCATGGTCAACCCCAGTCCAAAATTATCAAATGGAAAATTTCAGAAATAAATAATTCGTAAATATTAAATTGTGTGCTGTTCTGAGAAACATGATGAAATCTCACGTTATTCTGCTCCACATTGCCTGGAATATGAATCATCCCTTTGTCCAGCAGAAACAAGCTGTTTATGCTACCTACCTGTTACCCACTTAGTAGACGTCTCAGTTATCAGACTGACTATCACAGTATCTCAGTACTGTGGTCAAGCAACCTTTATTTTACTTAATAATGGCTCCAACGTGTAAGAGTAGTGATGCAGGCAATTCAGATATGCTAAAGGGAAGCCATAAATTGCTCCATTAACTGAAAAAGGTAAAAGTTTTCAATAAGGAAAGGAAAAAATTATGTATGCTGAGGTTGCTAAGATCTATGGTAAAAACGAAACTCCTTTCCATGAAATTGTGAAGAAGAAAAAATAAATTTGTACTAGTTATGCCATATACCTCAAGCTGCAAAAGTTGCAGCCACAGTGCAATATAAGTGCTTATTTAAGATGGAAAAGACGTTAAAGTTGTTGGTGGAAGACATAGACAGAAAATGTTTTGATGGACATCAATGTGCTGTGCCAGATTAATTAAATTAAATTAAACTCTATGATAGGTATGTACAGATAGGAAAAAAGCTTAGTATATATAGGCTTCAGTGCTATCCACGATTTCAGGCACACACTTAATGTTTCAGAATGTATTCCTTGCAGATAAGGGAAGACTACTGTACTATGAGATATTGGAAAACCTATCAGATACATATGCTTCAAAGTATGGCCCACAGGTTGTATCTTATGCAAAATGGTAAGGAATATGCTAGTGTTAGGGGCCACCAGACCACTAAATATTTCAGTGGTTGCTCTCATCTGTAGGTCAGGGATGATGGGAAGAGATACTATTACAGAATTGGGCTCATGATAGCAATGGAGGTGGTAGAAACTTAAAACAATAGACAGGTGGCAGTATGTAACTGTAAGTCAGATGGTTGTAATTATTGTATTGAGTGGAAAAAGACAAAGTGGCAGCCAGGGAAGTCTGACATGGAGAAGGTTATAGAGATGGTTATTAGAACATGACATCTCTAGGAGTCAGACAGATGGAACTGAGGAGTACTCTGTTCAATTGATGCAATCGAAAGAAATCAAAGATGGATTATCAGGATACTGAAAGAAATGACCCAATATAAGACACCACCCTTATTCAGTTTCCGGAACTGAGTTAGTTTTTAGACACTTAACTCTTGGAGTGAAAGAGAGGCCTGGTCGCCAAGAAGGGCTCTTCAAATCAATGATGAGTATACACAATAATGATTCTCCCAGTGCTCTCCCAATTAGAGCTTCCAGCAACTCAAAACATCAATATGAACACCCGTTAGATTTAGAACATATAAAGACTACAGGACAGTTTCCTTAGCGGCCTTGGACTGACTCGGTTTTTCCCCCTTTCTTGTTTGTAGTTCTCAAGAATAACTGTAGAAGGTGCTCGAAATGCAGCATCCTGGGATAAGAAGGAATTAGCCAGAACAGCATAGGCTCTGTTCCTGTCCCTCCTAGAGCAGGATCTTCTACAATGCTTCAGTCCAGCAATTTATGTTTCTCCCAGCGTATAAAGTCCAGAGTGGAGAGCTTTCCAGGGTCCCTCAGGTGTGGTGCAAGTGGGGCACATGGAGATGAGACTCCAACCACCATGTGCAGCTTTCTTGAGCCTTAGGAGACCAGCTCACCACAGATCCTAGGCTTTTATTTTTTCTTGTTGCCCATCTGCAAGTAATAATATTATTATTAATTATTATTACTTATTATTATTTTATATTAAAAACAAGTAATTATTTTCTTGTTGCCCATCTGCTCCGTGTAACCTGTTCTGTGCTAGTGTTCTGTCTCACAGGACTCATGCAAGTGATAGAAATTGGCACACCCTAACATGCAGTGGGTAAGGGATTTGAGTCCTCCTCTAGGATTGATGCTGGTGCACAGTGAACCTGCTTTGTAATGACCAGCTAATTAATAGAATCCTGGCCCAGGTCTGTCTAGCAGTTAATCCATGGGGTATATAGCATGAAATATGCAATTAAAATAGATAACTTTGGTAGTTGACAGAATCCCACTCTGGTTCCTTGGCCAGTAGGGTTAAGAGATATCATAGTGGAAAAGACAAAGTAGAAACTTTTGAAACTGCCCCAACACTCAACCAAGATAGTAAATAAAAGCAATCTTACCTCCTGATAGCAGCAGTAGCCAAAGAATGACAGATGGTTTATCTCTATTATATCTTCATTTAATTCATCCGTATAGTTCTTGCAGAATCCAGACATATTCTGGATTAGTACTATTGCACACTCAAACATTTAATAGCCCTAATTGCAGCCACTGTGCCAGAAATGGTGTTTCTGCTAGAATAGATTAACACAGCCACAGGTACATGCTAAGCCATCATTGGCTTGGCCAATGCATTTCTTTGTTTTTATTAGAAGAGAGGAGAGAACCATGAACAGTTTGCATTTACTAAGGGCAGATAACAATATATGTTTACAGTCTTGTCCCAGGTTTATGTTAGCTCTCTTGCCCTCTGATGTAATTTATTCTGAAGACACCTGAACCGTCTGGACATTCTGAAAAATGTCAGAATATCCCAACATATTGACTATATCTCTCTAACACTACCAGTGAAAAGTGGCAAGTATGTTGAGAGTCCTAGTAAGAAGCTTGCATTCTGAAAACAGGGGTCCAGTACATTGGTAAACATATTAAAGGTCTAATGATCTGGGATGTGGCAGCATATCTCCTCCAAAGTAAAGAGCATATTATTGTATCTCACATATTCATCCACAAATAAAAAAGCATAATTACTGAGAAGAACTTTTGGGTCTTGGACAAGGCATAATCCTTGGCAATACTGTTCCAGCCCATATATTGAGTGACATAAAACGGTCTCGCTTTGAGTGGAGCCCAGAGCAGAAAGGAACAGGCTGCAACACAAGTGGTTCTGCTTGGTCCATATGCTCTGGCAGATCTTAGGTTATTACAAATGCCAGAGATGACAAAAGACACCATGCAGAGTTTCTGGCAAGACCTGAGGGAAGACTCACAATACAAATTCATAGAGTTCTGATATAAGACTATGCCCTATGCAGCAAACAGTGCACATTTCAAAAAAGAGTTTGTGACTTGCTTTATGACATTGATATTTTTGGAAGATACGGCACAGTTATTTTGTAGAATATGTCTCACTCTGCGATTTTTGGTTTGTTTCCTCATCATTAGATCATGATAGCCTTTTTTCTCTCAGGAAGATTACAATAGGGATGTGTACTCTCTTCAGTGCGTCACATCTGGAAGCATATAATGTCTATTGGTCTCATTTCTAGTGATGTTATGTTTGACTTCTTGGTTAAGATAATATCTGTCAGGATTCTCCATTATAAAGTCAATGCTTTTATTTTTCTTTTGGGGGAAATTCCTTGAAACTTTGTACAAATCTTACTGCTCTGTAGACTTTCAACCCACTAGTTTTAGCATTTGTTGATGATTGTTTACCTGAATTAATTTTTATCATGGTTACCAAATAATAATTTTTTCTTTTCTTTCTACATTTAATAGTTAGTTTTATACTATAAAGTATAACTTTCCATAGTCTCACATTTCTCCAACACATCTTTGTCTATTTCTAGATTTATATATTTATTAAAATATCTTTTTGTCTGTACCTATATATGCCCTCTTGCCTTCTTGTCCTCTCTTGTTCTTAGAAATATTCCTTGCCATTGAAAGATCAGATATTTTTTCTCCCATAATTCCAACTTAATTTTTTTCTACTATCTAAAGCAAATATCCAAGTACCCTCTTCTTTCCTAATTATGTAGAAAATAAAGACATAGAAGTTTTCCTGGTCTTATTTACTTGATAAACTTTGAGTTTAGAATCTTTTGCTAGAGGGTATTTCATTACTTCCTAAAATTTCAATTCTTCTGCACACTTTTTTTATTCACTGAATGTTGTTAGTTGTAGAATTAAAATAGATGAAATAGTGATGTAAAATCTGGTTCTGTGCCTGTGCTCTATATCCTTCTGTTCCCTTCTGCTGAATTTTTGCATGTTTTCTTTCTTCATATATACACAACTACTGAGCCTCAATGAAATACATCTATAAATATGTCTGTTATTTTACATTTTTTTATAGGAGCAGGATATATTTTGGGCTCAGAATAAAATTTTGAAACTTAGTTTCAACTATTCATTGAGCACTTATTTTCATCTATAGTCTCCCTCTTTTATAATAATGAAAACTGAAAATTATGCAGTAAAATTCTCAGGCAGGATGCATGTAAATCTAGCAAAACAAGGAAGAAATAAACCAGATATTTAGATATATCTATGTCATGCTCTATGATAATTTCAGATCCAAAGCATTCAATCAGATCTCTATGAAGATATTTAAGGTACAACTCACCTTGATATTTCTCAAAACTTTGCCCACATCTATGCCAATAGTTATTTTATTATATTTTCTGAGAGTGCTGTTGGTTTCTGTCCAGGAAACAGATTGATACACAGCCTTTAAAAGTTCCCTTTTACCAGCATGCTGAAATAGAGTAGAAGAGGTTACCATGAGTATCTCTACAAGAGGTACTGAGGCACCTAAGGGCTAGTAAAGCAGGAAGCTATTCCCCAACCCCAGGTGAGAAGGGATGATAAGGGAAAGAAATAGTGTTAGTGGAGCTTTGGTTAGGGCCTGGAACCATTATAAAGGGGAAAACTAAAAAGGGTATAGTCACTGCGGGAGACAGCCACTTCCAGAACTTCACTGAAGTTAGTCGGAAGCAAGAAGTATAAATACCTTGGCTTCTCCCTTTTCCTGCCTCCTGATGGTGAATCCCATTGACTGAACCCAACTGGAAGTGCGAGATCCAGGGATCTTCAATAATCCATTTTATAGTGATTGGCCTCTTGGGGCAAAGAACAGAGAAGAGAAAGGCAGATAACAGACCTGGGAAGAGAGGAAGCAGATAATAACCACCATATTCCAAGGCCTCAGACAGGAAATAATGTACAGGCATACTCAAGAATAATCTCAACTCTGTTGTTGAAAACTTCAGAATTTCAAGCTTAAAAGCCATGAATTAGCTTATCCTATCTTCTCTGAAGTATGCATACCAAGGTCTGGTTTACATGGGGAAAGTCCATTGTTTAAATAAAATTACCCGGGATGAAGACTACATCTGTACATATAACAAACTGTTATCTCTGTGTAAAGATAATCACAAAAGAAAAGTAAAATCAATAGAAACTCCACCGAAGTAAAGGAAGTTGGTTATTTGTAGAGAGATTCAGGGTACATATTCACTACTGAGGGTTTTCAGATATAGATGGGCATTTCATGATATGTTTCAAAATATAGATGGGAATTAGATTGCATAGAGGGTAAAGAAAGATAGAGAAAAGAACAGATCTGAGGTTTGAATTCTGAGGCGCTTCAATCTTTAGAGATTAAAAAGAGGTTACTGTTCTGATCAAGGAGACCCAAGTAGCAGCAAATGAGGTAGCAAAAAAAAAAAAAAAAAAAAAAAAAGGACTTGGTGGTGTCCTGGATGCCAAAGTTTCAAGAAGGAGGCAATCAACAGTGTAAAATGCTATGAGAGGAAAGATGAGAACTGAATAATGGCTATTGAATTTGGCAATGCAGACAGAATTGATGACCTTGCATGTAAAGTTCCTGTGAGTGATAGAAATGAAATAATGGTGCAGCTGTCCAAATTCAGGACAATTAGTCTTTCTATAGTTATGTGGTTTTCTAAAAAAGGTTTGCTGAAGACTGGGCATATAAGAAATTTCTTGATAAAGTGGTTACTCATTCAAATATTCTGAAAATACTGCATACTCCATCAATCCTTGGAAAGTCCAAGGAAATGAGCAAAGTAAAAGACCTAAGAAATGAAAAAGAGACCGTTTTTGTCTTTATTTCACATAGAATTTTTTAAACTTATGTCCCACAAAATGCACTCATTTGCGTGTGTGTGTGTGTGTGATCCACAGTCTCTTACGTGAAACTTTTTTGTCAGATTTGATTTGGAAACCAAAATATTTCAGATTTCAGAAATATAATGAGGTGGAAAGCACATATCTTACATAATTATGCCAGCAGCGAATCAAACACAACATTTCTATAGTTTTGTGGAAAAAGTTTCACTCTCTGATAAATAAAGACTATAAATAGCCTCACACTCTTTTAAGTTTTAAGTTTAGATACTAAGGAATTGTTTGCCAAATTTTCTAAGAAAATTTCTGAAGTTTTTGGGTTTCAGAGCTGTGAGCTTGTATGCATACTCAGTAAAAATGGTATTTCCTAGAACAAAGTTTGTGCAGTGTTGATATATGAGCTTGAGGTGAGGCTCAAGAACTAATAGTAATGTACTTTATTTTAGAGTAAAATACATATATGTGCATTTACTACATAAAATTGAATTTTAGCAGATGATGTTTGACCCAAGTAGCTTATGAATCCACATCATAGGAAAATAATATAGGTATGTGGTTGATAAATTTTTAAATATTATGTGAATGTAAAGATGATCTAAAATGATACCAAACACAATGATTTTTGTGTTTTAAAATTTCAAGCAAAAAGGTAATTAAATTAAACTTATTACTTACAATTCTGAAAAGGAAAATGAGGAGAGTGGAGAAAAAGAAAGTGGCTACTCTCCCCAAAATCCTCAATAAAATAAAGACAAAATTTGTTAAAAGCAATTGCAGTTTCCCTGGAGATTGTAGCTAATGGAATATTTATTATCTTGCAAATTGACCAAACTAGAGTTCTACAGAACCCATGGTGAGAAAAAAACCCATTCTTAAAAAAACAAAAACAGAGCAAATATATTGATGTAAGTCATGTTTGCAGGCTATTGACTTTGATCACGTGATTCAATCACAAAGAAAAACTAAAATATTTCCCCAGCTTCTATAAGCCATTTTTAACCCAACAGTGATGAATTTTCCCCACTCTTCAGTGAGATTCTACATGGGGTCAGCAGGTATAATTTACTAACCAAGGACTGACAGAGGAATTCCACTGGAATTAGTGATGGCTTTGAAAAAAGCGGTTAAAGTGATGTAGTTTCACTTATTTTACATGTGACCCCTGAGAATGGTAGTGAGAATGGTAAGGTTGGATTGGGAAAGGTGCGGCCCTCTAATTTAAAAATATAATACATATATGTGTATATATAATCAAATAAAACAAATGAGGACCTAAGCATATAGAAAATACTAGTCAGAAAGGTATATCACTGAGCCAATAGAATGTCACCCCTTCATTTACTCATTTCATCTTGATTACTACTAAGGTCACACAACCTTCAGATATTTCCACTCTTAATCTTTCTGCTTAAAAGTAATAAGGCAAGAAAAAGAAATACAATGCCTTCAAATCAGGAAGGAAGAAGTTAAATTGTATCTGTTTGCAGATGACATGATTTTACACAGCCATTTGCCTCATAATGACATTTGGATCAATGACAGACGACATGTACAACGATGGTCCCATAAGATTATAATGGAGCTGAAAAATTCTTATTGCCTAAGACATCTTAGCCTTCATCATGCAATGCATTACTCACATGTTTGTGGTGATGCTGGCATCAACAAATGTACTGTGCTACCAGTTGTATAAAAATCTAGCACATATAATTATGTACAGTACATATTTGATAAACATAATAAATGACTGTTACTCATTTTGTATTTATTACGCTATACATTTTCATCATTATTTTACAGTGTACTTAATTCACTTATTTAAAAAAAATGGTTAACTGTAAAACATCCTCAAGCAGGGCCTTCAGGAAGCATTCCAGTAGAAGGCATTATTATTGTAGAAGATGACAGATCCATGCATACTATTGCCCCTGATGGCCTTCAGTGAGACAAGATGTGGAGGTGGAGGACAGTGATATTGATGGTCCTGACCTTGTATAGGTCTAGGCTAATGTGTGAGTTTGTGTCTTAGTGTTTAAGAAACAAGTTTAAAATGTTAAAAAAATTGTTGTAATAGAAAAAGCTTGTAGAATAAGGATATAAAAAGTTTTGTACTACTATACAATTTGTGTATTAAGCAAAGTGTTATTACAAAGGAGTAAAAATCTTTTAAAAAAATAAAAAGTCTATAAGGTAAAAGAGTTACAGTAAGCTAACATCAACTTATTATTGAACAAAAAGTAATTATTTAATACATTTGTTGTAGTCTAAGTGTACGGCATTTATAATATCTACAGTAGTGTACCGTAATGTCCTAGGCTTTCTTATTCACTCACCACTCACTCACTTACTCACCTAGAGCAACTTCCAGACCTGCAAGCTCCATTCATGATAAGTGCTCAATACAGATGTACCATTGTTTATCTTTTACACTGTATTTTTACTGTACTTTTTCTGTGTTTAGATACACAAATACACTATTGTGTTACAATTGTCTGCAGTGTTCAGTATGGTAACATGCTGTACAGGTTTGCCGCCCAGGAATAATAAACTGTACTATCGAGCCTAGGTGCATAGTAGCTATACCATCTAGGTTTGGGTAAGTACACTTTATGTTATTCACACAATGAAATTACCTAACGATGTATTTTTCAAAACATACCCTGTCAGTACGTGATGCATGGCTGTATATAGAAAACCCTAAAGACTGGCCAGACACAGTAGCTCATGCCTGGAATCCCAGCACTTTGGGAGCCCGAGGCAGGCAGATCACTTGAGTCCAGGAGTTCTAGACTATACTGGGCAACGTGGCAAAACCTTGTCTCTACAAAAAATACAAAAATTAGCTGGGCATAGTGGCACACACCTTTAGACCCAGCTACTTGGGAGGCTGAGGCGGGAGGATCCTGATCCTGGGAGGCAGAGGTTGCAGTGAGCTAAGATCGGATACTGAATTCCAGCCTTGGCAACAGAGTAAGAGAAAGAAAAGAAAGAGAGAAAAAGAAAGAAAGAAAGAAAGAAAGAAAAAGAAAGAAAGGAAGGAAGGAAGGAAGGAAGGAAGAAGGAAGAAGGAAGGAAGGAAGGAAGGAAGGAAAGAAAGAAAGAGAGAGGGAAAGAAAGAAAGAAAAGGAAGGAAGAAAGAAAGAAAGAGAAAGAAAGAAAGAAAAGGAAGGAAGGAAGGAAGGAAGGAAGGAAGGAAGGAAGGAAGGAAGGAAGGAAAAGAAACCCCTAAAGACTCCACCAAAGAGCTTGTAGAACCAATAAACAAATTTGTAGGAATGTGGATGGAGGTGGGGGCCGTTATCCTTAGCAAACTAATGCAGAAATAGGAAACCAAAAATTGCATGTTCTTACTTTTAAGTGTGAGCTAAACAATGAGATTACATGGGTACATAGAGGGGAACAACAGACACCGGGGCCTACTTTATGGTGGCAGGTGGGAGGAGGGAGATCAGGAAAAATAACCAGTGGTTACTAAGCTTAAAACGTGGGTGAAAAAGTAATCTGTACAACAAACCCCATGACACAAGTTTACCTATATAAAAAACCTGCACATGTAACCTTGAATTTAAAATAAAGTTTAAAAAAATGAAACAGAATATAGAGATAAAAAATAAACTCACACATGTGCAGTCAAGTTATCTTTGACAAGGACACCAAGAATACACAATGGACAAAGGATAGTCTGTTAAATAAATGGTAGGGAAAAACTACATATTCACCTACAAAAATAATAAACTGGACACTTACTTTAAACTACATATAAAAAATAACTAGAAATGGAGGTTTAAATATAAGACCTGAAACTAAACGTCCTAGAAGAAAATATAGAGAAAAATCTCCCTGTTATTGGTCATGGCAATGAATTTTCACTATGACACCAAAAGCAAAGCAACAAAAACAAAAATAATCACGTAGGACTACATCAAACTAGAAAGCTTTTCCACAGCAAGGGAAATAATCAGCAAAATTCAAAAGCTACTTCTGAAATGAGAGAAAATATTTGCAAACTATGTATCTGTTAAGGGGTTAATATCTAAAATATATAAAGAAATCAAACAGCTCAACTGCAAACAAATAAATAAATACTCAAGTAACAAATGGCCTAAGGACCTGAATAGACATTTTTCCAAAGGAGATATGCAACTAGATAACAAGTGTTTGAAAAGATGCTCAGCATCACTAATAATCACAGAAATGTAAATCAAAACCCCAATGAGATATCATCTCTCACTTGTGTAGATGGCTACTTATCAAAAAGATGAGAGACAAAAAGTGGTAAATATGTAGAAAAAAAGGAAGCCTTGTACATTTTTGGTGGACATGTAAATTGATATAGCCACTATGCAACACAATATGGAGATTCCTCCGAAAATTAAAGCTAGAACTAACATACCATCCAACAATCCCACTTCTGGGTAAATAGCCAAAGAAAATGAATTCAGTATTTTGAAGAGATATCTGCACCCTCAAGCTCATGATCACACAACTACAATGTACATGGGGGTGCAGATATCTCTTCAAGATACTGAATTTATTTTATTTGGTTATATACCTAGAAGTGTCTGTTGATGGATGTATGGATAAAGAAAATGTGGTATTTTTCAGCCATAAAAAAATAAGTAAATCCTGCCATTTGTGGCAACATGGCTCAAACTGGAGGATACTATGTTAAGTGACATAAGCCAGACACAGAAAAGCAAATACTGCATAATGTGATCTTATTAATATGTAAAATATAAAAAGTAAAACTCGTAGAAGCAGAGTAGAAACCTGGTTCTTAGGGGCTGAGGGTGTGGGGAGAGGAGGGGAAAGATGTAGTGGTAGATGTTAATTAAATTGTGGTAGTCATTTCACAATGCATATGTATATGAAATCATGACATGTACACCTTGAATTTATGCAATTTTTTGTTAATTATACCTCACAAAAGATGGAAAAATTGCACACACACGCACACAAAAGTTCTGCTTGATTTAGTGGCTCTTTATGGACAGTTTATAGTTTGTTGAGAGTTCCTTATGAGTTGTGATAGGTTCAGGAAAATGTCAGGAGTTTGAACAATGAATCAGTCAGAAGCTGAAATTGTCAGTGGGTTTAGGTAACACCTATGTGTGAATGAGCATCTATTTAACATCAGTGCACTGGTTTAAAATAAATAATCTTACATAAACACTTTCCTCAAAGGAAAAAGCTGTGGAAATATGGCACTAAAAATTAAATAATGTCAAACAGCTTCATGAACTGTTTTCACCTAAAAGATGCTATACAGGATATTTATTCATTTTAGTGCTGTGAATAGAAGTGACTCTAGAGGAGGACATTGACTGATGGGTTAAAGGCTCTCAAAGGACATCTGTATGGTTTCTTTTTTCACTGTGTTGCACTGTTTCCGGCTATCTCTCAAGGATGCAGCACATTTTTGTAATTTTTTGAAGATATGACAGCTTTGTAAAAACAATCTATTGAACTGTCTGCATTGTATCCTATCTTCCTGGAGAATATTATAAAAGGAAATATCTATAAACCATTCTGCAAGACATACTCAATATATAAATTAGATGTTTGATTGACTAACAAGCAGGTTAGGGGAAGAATGATGCATTTGTTAGTGCCCTCCATCTCCCTGGGATTCTGTAAGATAGCAATGATATCCATAATTGGTGCTAAGCAGGGAGTGGAGGGGAGTAGATGGAAGAAAAAAAAAGGTAGTCACTCTCCCTGAAACCTTTATGATAGAGAAAAGGCCTTTGGCTTCACAATGCATGGCTCCAATTGATTCTTAATTTCTTCTTTTGGAACATCTTCAAAGTTATGTTTTCTTAGGTTGTACTAGAAGTTCCCCATTATTTCTTTTTGGGTTGCTTAAAAGTCAAGGAATTTAAACAAAGAGTCTAGATCAATAACTTATCAGAAAACAACTATTGGCAGCTTGTTTCTCTAGCAGATTTCTGATGAGCTGAGTGATTTGTGAAGAGCATGGTCCTTGGAACAGGAAGTGTGGTGTTGAGAACTCAATTTGCTGTGTGTTAGACCAATTTAACTTGGACAAAGTATCAGCCCTTACTGAGATTCAGCTCTCTCAAGTATAAAGTGAAAATATTTTCCATGCCAATCTCACAGGACTATTGTGAAAAACACATAAGATTGTGTGAGAGAAACCTATTTGTGCAAGGTAAACACCACACATATACCAATTGTAATTTATTTTAAATTACATTATAAAACAGGATTAAAGTTTTAATACATTTTATTATAATGTTTTATATTTTAAATTTATGTGGGTACATAGTAGGTGTATATATTTATGAGGTGCATTACATTTTATTACAAAACAGAACACAAACCTAGTACTCCCAGGGAAAATGAAGGAATTTAATTTACACAGCAATAGTACATTTTGTAATTTTTGTATTACTATCTCCTTTCCTCACAGGGAAATTGATGACTTTCTTTGTGTACTATACTAACTTCTTTTTGCTAATCTTTAACTTGTTCTTCCAGGTATTTCCCCAACCAGTAATGTAATGATACCCTAGCTTCTGTAACTCATTGTTTCCACTGCTGAATGACTCTTTGGTCCTCCATTTTCAAATACTATCCGCACAATACAATTGCTACACAGTATCTCCAGAAACAGTCTGCTAATCAGTGACACATGATACCAGTATTCATGGCTATGTGTAAGTGCAAGGCGATCTTTTGTTGAAGTGCCTTGAACGGGAAGATGATACAAAATTAGAATGTACTTCAAAGATCCTTCTTGATGATATTCTGACCTTCAGAAAAGAAAATGTTTAAATCAGTTCCAAACACATGTGGTAATTTAACTTTTATGCATCAAAGGGTAAAGAGATATTTATTTGTTTATTTGTTCAAGATTCATTCATATATATGTACATTTTTTAGTGGTTATCAATTCTAAAGATCATAAAAGTATAATTGTGAAGTCTAAGTTGACTTAAAAATAAGAGGTCATGGATATCAATATAATTGTGAAATTTTTGTTGCCACATTGAAAACAGAAGAATAGAAAGAATGTGCTCGAGAAGGGGAGAGAGAACATGGAAGGGCAATTTGAGGGATAAAATGAATGAAGAGAAGTAGAAGATAATATTTTGTATCATATCAGAATGACAGTCTAGCATAGGTTTGAACCAGTACATCCAAAACTTTCTGCTTTCCCTTTGTTCGTACATACTGTCTTGTGATTTTATGGTTCTTAAGTGAGGATGCATGTCTTCCCCAGAAGTGTGAACCATGGAAGAGTCTAAACATAGTAACCAGTGCTCATTATGTCTAGGTCTAGCTCACTAGTGCTGGTGACACTGCTTCTACCTGCATCATAGACCTTGGTTACATTTTTCTTATATTTACATACTCAGATTTATGCATCGTTGGTTAATCTCTGAACTTGGGGAGGCTGAACAGTATGTTTTATTCTGTTTATATCCCCTATTACACTAACTCAGCCTTCTGTGTATAAAATATTCGCAGAAATTTCCTGGAGAAATTGAGAATTCCTTGGCCTTGAGGCAAGATATACCTATAAGGTTGAAATATGAGCTTGGAGGTCACCTTAGCAAAAAGAGATGTGAAGGAGCCCTGTATTCTGAGGAGAGCCTGCAGAGCCATAAGGATGTCAGGTGATGCTGTGCCCTTCTCTGGATCCTGTCAGGAAGAGGTGCAGAAAGACTGTCTCATACTGGCAATGTGAAATGTATTCAGGTGGGTAAGTTACTGTCTGCCACGTTCCTCTACCGTAAAGTTACCATTTTTCACTTTATATTAATCTGTATTTTGTGGGGAGATACTTTGTGATGAGGCAAGTATTCTGTTTCTGGTCACACTTTACCTACTAATTTTAGCATCCAGTGATGGTTCTCTAGTGTTTGACTAAATAAAATTTTCATTTTTCATCATTCCTTTTTCATGTATTAATTGGAATTATACTGTAAGAAACAGCTTGTCCCTATTCACCTATTTATTATATATTGTGTGTTTTTTTAAAAAAGTTGAGAAAGTGGAATGCATAACAAGTTATGAAGACCAATTTGTGAAAATGTTACATCAAATGCTTTGTAATTACTCACTTTCTTTGAGTTTCTACAAATACATCAATGTGTGTGGAGGTGTAGGGGTTGAGGCAACATATACATGTGTCTTCAGCACATAGGTTCATTTGCTCTCAAAGTCATAATTGACAAAAAGTAAATTAGAGCCACAGGTTTGACATATCCAAAGGGAAGTATAATTCAGCAATGCAGACCCCTATTGGGTGACATCATATAACATGAGAAGAGAGACCAAATCAGCATATCATATCACAACACAGTCTGCACCAGCAAGCAAAATTAAACTGACAAAAAAGGAACAGCTTTCTGAAAAAATAAAATTGAATAGAAAAAAAGGGAACTATAGATTCTTAGAAAACTGTACTTAGAGTTCATTTTT
This sequence comes from Homo sapiens, assembly GCF_000001405.40. Lineage (NCBI taxonomy): Eukaryota > Metazoa > Chordata > Mammalia > Primates > Hominidae > Homo > Homo sapiens. The sequence continues at coordinate 36,555,686 of NC_000023.11, read as the reverse complement.
ATTTAATATCTAAAGTAATGCATGACATTTAATGTAGGCTTTTCTTTCAAATGTGCCATATCCCAAAAGCATGAATATATTTGACAAAATCAGACTCTATTTGTCTAGGGCAGAGTTTTAAATGACCTTCAAATTTCAAATGACCTATCGTTGCTTCTTTGAAGAAAGTGGCATTATAAGACTTGGTCTGCACTCATGGTTATTTAGGAAACAAATACACACTTCCCAGACAGAAATTGAACTCTTAGATAACTTTTTCACGCTTCTGCTTCACAAGCAAAATATTTCCTTGGCCAAGTATATTTTTTAAAATTTTGGTATTGTGTAATTTTCCCAAAGGCACTAGTCCTTCTCTACATATTTATCCAAGTGTCAGCAAAACAACTAATGATTGGGTCCTTTCAGATAAACCTACCATCAAATATGGAAACAAAAAGCAAGTTTGATTAGTTGTTTCAATTCATTAAAAGTGCTTTAAACTTACTCTAACAGGGAAACATACAGTGGGGGAATATGTTCATTGGCTACTCAAAAGTTCTTTACAATCCCGTTTCTCCTGCCTTTCTCCACTGCAGAGTAGACAGCTAATTAGCAGTGGCTCACCGTTCCTTGCAGCCAGAATGGCCAGATGAGCAGTAATTAAGTAAATAAATGGATGTAAAAGTCCTTCAAAAAATCAATAAACAAGCTTTGGAAGGAGAAAGCTTTTGGCTCTTCTTTCTTTATACTTGAAATTCAAGTGAAGAATAATGGAGTGGGAAGAGGGAAGGAGCCAAGATTCCCTGAGGACGTCCTACTGCACAGGATACCTCTTCACAGGTTAGGTAATAAAAATGCACTTCTGTGTGTTTAAGTCACTGTTGTCAGTTTTTTTTTCTGTCTTTTAGGCAATTACATTATTATAGATACATACATTCTATGAATTCCCCTGAAATATAATGATCGATAAATACCTTTCGCAGGGAATAACACTCATAGGCTTCAGGTTATGGAACAGAAAATCCTTATATTCTTTGCTATAGAGATGTGATACTGTTGCTTTTAATTTCTGTTTTAGTTTCTTCAGTTGGAAGAAAATCTAAGTTAATATTTCTAAATGCAAATCATGGAAAATAACATATTCTTTCATATGTATTCCCCTTGGAGATAATACCTACTCTCAAGTGCCTAAATGACTGGTACAATGTTTTTTTCCCCTTTAGTTCTTTCATCTTGAGAATACTTGAATACATAGATGGGAAATAAAGTTCCATGGAGGCAGACACAACTGTAATCTTAAGGAACTGAAAGAATTCCAGAAATCCTCTCTCAAAAAATTGCTCAGAAGTTATACTGCTTATGTCAGACTTAAAGTGTGAAGTTGTAAGTGTCTTTACAGTGTACATTGGTATGAAATGACACTACAATAAAACTTTGAAACACTTCCTTTTCAATATGGACTACAAGCTCTAATTAACATACAGGTTTTAATCTGTATTGTATCATCTGTAATGCCTTTTATTGATAACATGTTAATAGTCAATATCTGCTTATAAGTCACTCATCATATAAGTTTGACCAATTCAAACAATTATAAATCAAGGATTAAATGCATGCCTGTTTACTATTGAGTTTAGTCAAGATTTTCACTTGGAACAAAACAAGTGACAACTATGGCTCACTTAGGCAGGAAAAGAAGTTTTTTACAAAGATAGCATGGAATCTGCAGGAAGGGTAAAGTACCAGGCTCAGTAATTTGGTAGGCACTGGTTGGGCACACCCAAGATCACATCAAAGGAATAGTGATCTAAAAATGCTGAGGTTGATACTGATAATCTGTAACTGGGCACCCATTATTAGCACTTCTGTAGTCACCAGGACATCATACAAGGATTCAATCAACCCTGGGTACTCTCATCTCTTTTGCTCCCCTGATCCCAATAGGGGAAATGTTTAGATGTTAAATTTAAAGCAAAAATAAAACAAAAAACAAAGCCTCTTAGTAACAACTTAATTAGTGATTCAATTAATTTTAAAAGTTTGCCAACATACAGGATTCAAATTCAGATTGCTTAGGCCAGAAGGTACCACATATCACAAATATTTTTGTATATATTTACATATGTATATATGTTATATATATTTACATTTATATGTAAATATGTGTATATGTACATTTACATATTTATACATTTTATATATACATCTATATTTACATTTATATATAAATATAAATATGTATATTTATAGAAGTAGCAACAACTTCAGAAAAAGAAAGGATTGATTTAATAAAAGTAAGGGGTAATAACTTTTAGTTTAATCAAGTAAATATTTTGGAATCTACAAAACTTTTTAGATACTTTAATAGGAAGCAAAATCATTTTTTATTAAATCAATCAGTTTGGAAAGAAACTGTTCTCAGATGTCTTCCTTCATTGTTAAAGATTGTTCTACTGAATTTTGTTTCGATTTTTCAACTAGTCATGTTAACATTACAAATAAACCATATATAAATGCACCCCTTGCAATATGTTTATTATTAAATCTCATGTGTTAAAAAATAAATCAACATTACATCAGTGTCAATTAGATATTTACACTTCTGAAGTGGAAGTAAAAATCAAATGGAATATATTGGTTAAGGATAAATTAGTTAATGTTTCTGTGAGTATGTAATGGGTTAAGGCAAGTTCATAATTACTGAAGGGAATATAAATTTTATTAAACCCATCAAAATTGCAAATGCTCCTATCCTTGGAATCAGTAATTCCACATTTAAGAATTTATTCTGAAGTTATACTTGCGTACATTGTTGTGAAATGACATAAATACAAGATTACTCTTGTAGGAAAGTTTGTAATAGCAATCTGGAAACAAATGTTCGTGAGTAGGGGATGGGCTCTCTAAATTACTGTGCATTCACAGAAGAAAATATTGAAAAATCAACAAAGTAATCATACACTGATAAGAAGCAAACTTCAAGTTGTTTTGAGTTAAAAAGTAAAGTAAATGCAAGAAAAAATGGGGTAGTAGATGGATATACTCTATATGAAATATATATATACATACACACATATATTTATATATATACACACACATAAAATGTGTATAACTCTAGAAGAAACTGATGACATGTGCTGTCCTTGGTGACTGAGAGTAATATGGGTGGGAACAACATAGGAAAAAAACTTTGACTATAAACCTCTTGTTAAAATTTCAAGCAATGTGTAAGATAATATCTATCCCACAAAAGAGAATTAAAATATATAAATTAGTGAAAACCTCAAATTTTCTTTACAAAAGCATTGAATATGCATAAATATATTCTATTAATCGTACATGAATGGGAGAGACCAGGATGATCAAGGATCCTCCAGGGTGTGTTTCCTGCTCCAGGACTATCAAGGACCTCCTTAAAATCTGGGTATTCATATTGCCCAAAGCAATGTACAGATTCAGTGCAATTCCCATGTAAACAACATCAACATTCCAGATTGGCTGTCAGGCTTGGTATGTGTATTATTTCATTCTCATGCTGCTAATGAAGACATAACTGAGACTGGGTAATTTATAAAGGAAAGAGGTTTAATTGACACACAGTTCAGCATGGCTGGGGAGGCTTCAGGAAACTTACAATCATGTGCTCAACATTTAAAAACATGTAGTATGTGAATACATACCGAGTAAAATGCAGAAGATTTGAGAGAAAAAAATTTAAAGATAGAAAAAAATTAGAAAATTAGAGAAAAAGTTTCCCATTGACCACCTAATACTCTTCTACGCTCCTTTCCAGAGGTAACCACTATTAATTTACTACATTTCTTCTCAGAAAGATTTTTTCCCAATTTTTAAAAAAATGCATGTGCAATATACTAACATACACTCAAAAAAATAGATGAGTACAGGTAAAGTGAAAGTCTCCTTTGACTATCCTCTATTCTGATCCCTTCCAGACTCCTCAGAAATATATTTACACTTAAAAAAAATCTTAATTTTGCATCCACATATGTACGAGAAAAATATACAACACTGTTTTGTGTTTTTCTATATAAATGGTAGAATTATGCATGTAATTAGTGTCAAATTTGCTTTCTTCTCTAAATTTTATGGATTCATGTGTACTTGTTGATAAATGTAGAGAGCCAGTTAATTCATTTTGTATGCTGCAGAATATTATATTCCACGATACACTAAATCCTATTTAGCCATTTTAATATCCAAAGTGTGGTTTCTAAAAGTTTTCTATTAACACAATGCTATAATGAACATTCTTGTGCTTGTTTCCTTGTTTACATGTGGACTATTTCTTTTTGGTAGATACTCAGAAGTGTCATTGCTAAATTCAGGATATGTGTATTAACAACTTGCCTTTCACGGTATATGATCCTATTCATTAGTAAAGTATAATAGTGCTTTTCTCACTGAAATCTCACCAAATTTCATATTATCCAACTTTAATTTTTTTCCTGATGTGATGGGTATAAATGATGTTTTACTCTGCATGTTTCTGATTCCTAATGAGGCTAAGCTACTCAGGAGGCTGAGGCAGGAGGATGAGGCTAAACAATTTTTCCTGTGTTTATCGATCACTAATGTTTCCTTTATTTGTGAATTGCTGTTTCAGATACTTTGTCCATTTCTCTCTTGATTTGTCTTATTCATGATGATTTATAAGCTTTCAAAAAATTTACTCTAGATACTAATATTTTATCATTTATTTGAATTAAAAATATCTTCCCCCAATGTGTCTTTTGTTCATCTGAAAGGTCTTTGTTGGCCCTGTATTTGTAAGTGATTGTTTATTTGAGTATACATTTTTAGGTTTGAACTTATTATTTCTCAATATAAGTATATTATCCTGTTGCCTTCTGTCTGCAATTATTGTCTATCTATGCTATCTATGGGTTTTTTTTTTCCTTTTTCTTTCTTTCTTTCTTTCTTTTTTTTTTTTTTTTTTGAGACAGGGTCTCTCTTTGTCGCTCAGGCTGGAGTGCAGTGACAAGATCATGACTCACTGCAGCTTCAACCTCCTGTGCTCCAGTCATCTTCCCGCCTCAGCTTCAAGAGTAGCTGGGACTGCAGGAGTGGGCCACCACACCTGGCTTATTTTTTGTAGAAACAGGGTTTCCCTACATTGCCCAGGCTGGTCTCAACTCCTGGGCTCAAGTGATCCTCCCGCCTTGGCTTCCCAAAGTGTTGGGATTACAGGCATGAGCTACCACATCTGGCCTTTTTTACTTTTTTCATTGTGATAAAATGTATATAACATATTTGCCATTTTAATTATTATTGAAGTGTACAATTTAGTGACAATTATTATATATATATATCATTGTGCAGCCATCACCACTATCTGTGTCAAAACTTTTCATCACTCCAAAAAGAAAGTCTGTACCCACTAAACAATAACTCCTCAACTTTTTCCCTGCCCCTAGCCCCTGCTATCCTCTAATTTACTGTTTGTTTGTAAGATTTTGCCTATTCTAGATATTTTATACACGTCTAATCATACATGTTTTTCTTTTTTGTGTATCTGTCTCATTTTGCTTAACAAAATGCTTCAAGTTTAATCCATGTTGCAGCAGTATCAGAACTTCTTTTCTTTTTATGGCTGGATACTTTTCCACTCTAGGTATATATCACATTTTGCTTATCCATTTATCTGTTGCTGGGCACTTTGTACATTTGGCTATTGTGAATAATGCTGCTATGAACAATGGCATACAAGTATCTGAGTCTCTTTTTGAAAATATTTGGGATATATTCTTAGGGGTGAAATTGCTGGGTCATATGGTAACTCTACGTTTAACTTTGAGGAACCAGCAGATTTTTTCACAGAGGCCGCAGCATTTTACATTCTCACAGGCAAAGGAGATGTATTTTTCTGGCATAATTTTTGAATCATTTACATTTATTTCATAATTATGTACATGTATTATTTTAAAATAGAGGACATCCATGTGTAATGACTTGGCACATGGTAGATGCTTTAAAGATATTTATGTATGTGCAGTGAATGTTGTTCATTAAAACTTCCATTTATCTGAGATATCGGAAGTATATTTAGAATTTTTCTTTCAAAAAAAAAGAAAGAAACAAAAAAGAGCTACAGCAGATGTGGAATGTGGTATCATACTAAGTTTTGACAATGCTGGTTTGTGGGTACATAGAGGTTCATGAGAGTATTCTTTCTTCTGTGTTTAAAATATTTCATAAAAGAAGTAAAATTTGAGGCTCCTGCTGGGTAGTGACTGAAGGGTCATATGAGGAAGGAGTTTTGGACAGGGTAGTCATATTCTGTTTCTTGATGTGGGTGCTGGCTTCACAGGTATGTTCATTTTCTAAAAACGCAAGTTGTCCACCTATAATCTGTTACACATCTGAATCTCTGTTATACTTCTGTAAAAACTTTGCCTAGAAAAAATAAAAGAAAATAGACCAAAATATGGCTAACCAAGTACAGGATGAAGAGAACAAAATAAAGAGATATGAGACTTGTGGAAGTCTGCTCATACTGATATTTGTCTCATTCAAATAAAAGACTCTTCCTATGTAGCCTTTGAAAGAACTTGTTTTTTTTTATATACTGAAAATGCCTGCTATCTCTGAGACTTATTCATATTTCCTAGTTCTCATTTATATATTTTACTTCTAGTCAATGGTTCACTGTTCATTTAAAAGAAAAAAGCAACATGTGAGTTTACCCAAAACAGAGATATAGACCAATGGAACAGAACAGAGCCCTCAGAAATAATACCACACATCTACAACCATCTGATCTTTGACAAACCTGACAAAAACAAGAAATGGGGAAAGGATTCCCTATTTAATAAATGGTGCTGGGAAAACTGGATAGCCATATGCAGAAAACTGAAACTGGATCCCTTCCTTACACCTTATACAAAAATTAATTCAAGATGGATTAAAAACTTAAATGTTAGACCTAAAACCATAAAAACTCTAGAAGAAAACCTAGGCAATACCATTCAGGACATAGGCATGGGCAAGGACTTCATGTCTAAAACACCAAAAGCAATGGCAACAAAAGACAAAATTGACAAATGGGATCTAATTAAACTAAAGAGCTTCTGCACAGCAAAAGAAACTACCATCAGAGTGAACCGGCAACCTACAGAATGGGAGAAAATTTTTGCAATCTACCTATCTGACAAAGGGCTAATATCCAGAATCTACAATGAACTCAAACAAATTTGCAAGAAAAAAACAACCTCATCAAAAAATGGCGAAGGACATGAACAGACACTTCTCAAAAGAAGACATTTATGCAGCCAACAGACACATGAAAAAATGCTCATCATCACTGGCCATCAGAGAAATGCAAATCAAAACCACAATGAGATATCATCTCACACCAGTTAGAATGGCAATCATTAAAAAGTCAGGAAACAACAGGTGCTGGAGAGGATGTGGAGAAATAGGAACACTTTTACACTGTTGGTGGGACTGTAAACTAGTTCAACCATTGTGGAAGACAGTGTGGCGATTCCTCACGGATCTAGAACTAGAAATACCATTTGACCCAGCCATCCCATTACTGGGTATACACCCAAAGGATTATAAATCATGCTGCTATAAAGACACATGCACACATATGTTTATTGTGCACTATTCACAATAGCAAAGACTTGGAACCAACCCAAATGCCCATCAATGATAGACTGGATTAAGAAAATGTGGCACATATACACCATGGAATACTATGCAGCCATAAAGAAGGATGAGTTCATGTCCTTTGTAGGGACATGGATGAAGCTGGAAACCATCATTCTCAGCAAACTATTGCAAGGACAGAAAACCAAACACCGCATGTTCTCACTCGTAGGTGGGAATTGAACAATGAGAACACTTGGACACAGGGTGGGGAACATCACACACCGGGGCCTGTTGTGGGGTGGTGGTAGGGGGGAGGGATAGCATTAGGAAATATACGTAATGTAAATGACGAGTTAATGGGTGCAGCACACCAACATGGCACATGTATACGTATGTAACAAATCTGCACATTGTGCACATGTACCCTAGAACTTAAAGTATAGAAAAAAAAAAGGTTAAAGGAACATTTCCATCATCACAAGGATAGAGGTCAATATTCTGATTGTGATATTGTACTATAATTTTGCAAGCTGTTACCATTGGAACCAACTGGGTAATAGCTACGTAGACTCTCTCTGTATCACTTCTTACAACTGCATGTGAACCTACAATAATCTCAAAATTTTAAGTTTAATTAAAATAAAAAAGGACAGTATGAGACTGTCCCCAGAAAACTGGCACCAAAAAAAGGAAACTTAAGTTCAAAATGAGGAAGCAAATAAATGTAAGAAACTAAAAGAGTAAACAAAACAATGTACACTTTGGGGAAACATGGGATTTTTTTAACAAATGATGTCATGTTGAGCAGGGCTGGGGTTTTTTTTGTTTTTTTTTTTTTTTTTTTTGAGATGGAGTCTCATTCTGTCACCCAGGCTGGAGTGCAGAGGCACGATCTCGGCTCACTGCAACCTCCTCCTCCCAAGTTCAAGTGATTCTTCTGCCTCAGCCTCCCAAGTAGCTGGGACTACAGGAGCCTGCCACCACACCTGGCTAATTTTTTGCATTTTTAGTAGAGGTGGGGTTTCATGTGTTAGCCAGGATGGTCTTGATCTCCTGACCTCGTGATCTGCCTGCCTCGGCCTCACAAAGTGCTGGGATTAGAGGCGTGAGAGCACGGCTTTTATTGTTTTCAATAGAATAAAGTCTTTCAATGGCTAAAAAAATTATAATGCTTTTAACAAGTTAAACTATCTGGAACTAAGATAAAAGGAAGTAAAACTATACAAGAACTTTTTTAAAAAGGTTAAAGGGTAAGCAACTAATGGAATAATAAATAGAACAATAGAGAGACATCAAGTTCTTGGTTAACCATATTCTACTGACTGCAAAAAGTCATGCTGGACAAATGACTTCTTGGAGGAACCATCCATATAACCCCAGAATTAACACTACAGACTTGATTTTCTTCAACTCTCCTTTAGTGGCATTATTTCCTCTGTCTACTTGTCATTCTTGAAGACAGCACCTGCTGAACAAATATAAAAAGTCCATATGTTATTACCATATTCTTCATTCAGTTAATTATTCAGTAATGCATGCATCTTAGCAATTATTTATTGTACGTGTATTACAAGCCAAGCCAGGGCATTGTACTAAGTAATGGCGATATAAAGATGAAAGAAATACAGAGACCGTTCTCTCCTCCCCAAAAGTTCCTAGCCTATCTGGAAAAGTAATTGTGGGTTCACAAAATGGAGTGGGAAAATGTTGCGAACAGGCCCCCCCAAATCTGGCCATAAACTGGCCCCCAAACTGGCCATAAACGAAATCTCTGCAGCACTGTGACATTTTCATGATGGTCATGATGCCCACGCTGGAAGATTGTGGGTTTACCAGAATGAGGGCAAGGAATACCTGGCCCACCCAGGGTGGAAAACTGCTTAAAGGCATTCTTAAACCACAAACAATAGCATGAGTGATCTGTGCCTTAAGGACATGCTCCTGCTGCAGATAACTAGCCCAACCCATCCCTTTATTTCGGCCCATCCCTTTATTTCCCATAAGGGATACTTTTAGTTAATCTGATATTTAAAGAAACAATGCTAATGACTGGCTTGCTGTTAATAAATATGTGGGTAAATCTCTGCTCGGGGCTCTCAGCTCTGAAGGCTGTGAGACCCCTGATTTCCCACTTCACACCTCTATATTTCTGTGTGTGTGTCTTTAATTCCTCTAGCGCTGCTGGGTTAGGGTCTCCCCGACCGAGCTGGTCTCAGCAGGTAAATGAATAATAAGCATAGCTAACTTTTATTGAACAGTTTCAACATGCTACTTACTGTGTTAACTGCTTTCTGCATGAACTCAGTGAATCCAGCTAATACCATGGGTGGATATGATCTGTGGTCTCGTTTTACAGATAAGGAAATTGAGGTTTAGAGACAGGAATTTGTTAAAGAGCAGATAAACTGTGGAATTCCCGTTAAAACCAGGGCACTCTGTCTCAAGAACCCACATTCCCAGCCCCTGGCCCAGAGGATGGAGGACAAGCCCCCTGCAATCCTAGTGTCTCCTAGATCATCACTAAGGAATCACTTGAATTGGGTCTAGCAAAAAGAGGACAGAATTGTATGGGCACTTGGGGGTCACAAAGGTGCTGATAATGTTTTCCTGGCAGAGGGAGGAATCAAGCTAAAAGGAATTTACACAACAGTATGAAGGAATAAAAGATGTCACTAAATTATGGGATGAGAGGATTATGTGAAATGGAGAGTGACATTGGCTGGGGAAAATGAAAGTGTAGGGGATGTCTAAGAGCAAATAAGTGACTGCTTAGGAACAGAGTCTTGGGCCACTTAATCATCATCCTGTTCTCACCTGTCTTCAGGTGAGGCTTTGTGGAAAGGTGAACAATGCTGCCACATGATTCTTGACACTTTTGATTGGCATTTTTTTTCCTTCTTCTGGATACTGTGGCTATAATTGAAGCCCAGGCTTCTTCTGCTGGCTATCACTGCTGATGTCCCATGACCCCTGAGGTACCAAAGCTCTATTCTGTTGAGAACTTAGGGAGAATTTCTCTTCCCTTCTGTGTTATATCCTATGTTGGATGGAAGTTGGGAAATAACAAGGTGCCACTGCATTCTGCTTTTATTTCATAAAGAGGTGTTTTACTAAAATTAGCTCTTTGATATCTTACATTTATTCCCCTCGAGTTAAGAGACGAGTTCATAAAAGGATGCTGTTTAGAGGCATCTGAATATCACCCTACTCTGGAATAAGAATTATTCTTCTGCTAACAGATTAAGGCTAAACATGCCTTATTGATTAAGGAATCTTTTAAAAACTATTATCTCTGAGAAATTTCTCAAGACCTTCTTGTAAACAGGACTTTGTTCATTCACATGACTAGTTCTTTAGACTGCCTGGACAGACATAAATCCTGCAGTATACAAAGCATAGGTTTAAGCCTTCCTTGCCACCTCTGCAAAATACACATTGAAGCTGAAATAATATGGACCACACCTACCAGCCTCTTTCCACACTGTTCCTCCATCATACCTCCTCAGTCTCTCAGCATCCTCTGGTCAGCATTAACAGTACAAAGATGAACATGTACTCTTTGAGAGCAAAGCCTTTCAAAAACAAGAGGGGCCCAGAACAATTCTAATAAAACATAAAATCCTGCTTATGTACTTGGTAGAATATTAGCCTAAAGAGGGAATAATTAACTGTTGAGAGGGGCATGCATTGGATAGGGAAAGTAAAGGTATCACTTAACCGGAGTCTTGAAGGATAAATCAAGGAAAGTTAAGACACAGGGGTGTAGAGTGGCAGGTGTGGATATGGCTAGACAGGGAGTGGTGGATTGTCAGCGACCCAAGAGACAAAAGAAAAGGTCCAAAGATGCAAGGAAGATGCTCAATAGATATTGAATAGGTGGAGGAATGAATGAATGAATGAATGACAATAAATGGTATTTTATAACATTTTCCTGCTTCCAAAATATTTGCATAATTATTTTATATAATTTTCACAACGCTCTTGTTAAAAGGCAGGGCTTTTAGGTCATATTTTACAGATGATGAATTTGAGGTCCTAAGAGGTCAGGTGACTTATTTAACGTCACAGGAGTCATGCAACTAAAATGCTATCCAGGCCCCATAACCATGCCATTGTCACCTCAGTGACCACAGAGCATCAGAAATGATGTCCATCAGAAGCAGCAAGCAGGGCAGAACTGGTCCCCTGACCTCTTGACCTGTATTTGTTGTGCTTTGGCTTCCACTTTAGTTCTTAATTTAGATGGAAAACAGCAAAGGCTTTGTTTAGAAGGGCCTTTGCTATAAACTTCCCTGACTTCACACCCAGGCACCTGAAAGGCCAGAGCAAATTGTTTAGCCAGTCTAGTCACATCTGCATTCTGAAACACTGCCATGAAGCCAACAGCTGTAATCTTAAACCAAATGTCAACAATGAAATCTGATATGGTGAAACAGGTTAGTACCTATTCATAAACAGATAATGCACAACATTGTTTATTCTAATGGAAGGTGGTAACATTAATGTTTACTATCTGGGTAAGAACAATCCTCTTTGTCCTCTAATAGATGCTTGTTTTCCCGTGGAATATTGAAATTGCCACACATTGTTTAAATTAAATCATGTAGATATTGCCAGTGATTATAGTTTATGTGAATGTCAGCTTCAATATCAGTGATACTCAGCAACAAAGCCAACATCTGAGAGTTTGTTTGCAGGAAGAAAGCAGTTCAATTCAGGAAAACAAAGCAGAGTAATTTGATGTTCATAGCAATATTTACATCAAAGATTAATGTAATGCAATAAGAAATGAATAAAAGCTAGAGAAAAATAATCAGAAGAGTTATGAGATCGCCTTTCAAAGCCCTCATTATCAGCATTATCAGAGAAATAAATCTATAATAGAGGAAATATTGATAAAAATATTACATGACCCTTGTCTTAATATGTCTAAGATATATCATGAAGCCAGAAAATGTGAAAGTTAACCTAAAAGTCATTGCAGGGAGAAGACACCACTCAGGCTACTCAGCAGGATGAAAAAATGATCCATATGACAATGAAACAGAAAGAACTAACTTCCCATGGGAAGATTAATGGCAGGATTACCTTGAAAATTTGTCTGTCTGTTTTGTACAAATTAATATTTACAGCTTCATAAATTGTTTTAGTTGTTCAGAATATATAAATTGCAAATTATAGTTTTCTTTGTTTTTTTTTTGTCCCATTATCATAATCTAATCCCATACTAACCTCATGCTCCATTGAATCCATATAATATTCAACTTTCTGTGAAGGAATGCTCATCAAAAATACCTCTGAAATCTGAAATCTGAAATTCTGAGATCAAGTATTACAAAATTATGTCCTTTTCTGTGAATGAGTGATTTAGATCATTATCGTATTTAAAAGTTCGTCATGTATTTTTAAGATGTCTATTTCAGAAAACCACAATATAAAACTGAAAAATTAAAAGAAAAATGGAAAATTGGAGATCAGAAAACTTATAGTAAACTGAGAAATATATTGCCAAATTGAAAATCAGGACAAAAAGGTTTTATGCATTTTTTAGCAAGGTTTTGCTACTATATCCATGTAGGATAATTGTATTCTTAGTGAAAATAACCTATTAACTACTGCAATCACTAGCTTACTGTATCAGGGTTGGTGAAATGGCATGTAGCTACACCACGAAATCATATATGAATGATACCAAATATAGGAATAAAAACTGACAAAGGACTTCCTTCTTTCCTTCTTTCCTTCTTTCTTCTCTTCTTTCTTCTTTCCTCTCTTCCTACCCCTCTCTATCCTTTACTCTTTCCTTTCTTTATTTCTTCCTTTCCTTCTTTCTTTTTAAATCTCTACTCTGGGGTACAATCTATATTGGTTTGCATACCATAAATTTGTGCAAACAGCTTTGGAAATGTTTGAATTTTATTAGCAATCCAATTTCAATTTATTTTAGTGGTTCTTTATCACTTTTTCATTGTCCAGGAATATGCCATGATGAACCACTCCTCTACCAAATTCTAAGCAATGAGAAGCACAAACATAAACAATTATCTCTAATGCAGCCTGTGAGTACTCTAAAGAAGCTGTATGCAACATGCTATGAGACTACAGGAAAGGACATGATTGATTCTATCTGGGTGTATGGGGAGATTTCCTGTAAGAGACAATATTTGATCTTGCATGGAATAGTAAAGAGGAATTTTTCAGATAGACAAAATGAGCATAAGGGTATTTCAGGCAGAAGGGGTGTGGGGGGAAATTTGGTTAATCCAGCCAACAACAGATTAGATGATTCCGTAAATATTTCATGAAAACATATTTTAAAACTTTTATTTCTACAGTCAGGGTCTAATCCTACTTGATCCCTGCTTGAGTTAAGTGAGACATAAAAATGCTTATGTTGAGACCATGCTCAAAGGACGTCATACTTAGCCTAAAGAGGCAAAGTAGTGTTGTTGGCCACTTCATAATGTTGTTCATTCAAATGGTGCTGTTAATTCCAGGGTGTCATGGGTTGCCCTCAAGATGATCAAGGAAAACTCTGAAAATGTTAGTGGTTCATGATGGCAAGATATTGGGGAATGTTATAAAAATTGGCATTGATAAATGCATGTACTCTAATTTGTGAGACTTCTCATGTATCTAAAACTGCTTGCTCTTGGTTATGACATCAAATGGTATGTTCAGGGCACTAGTTGAGGTGTTCAGTACTTCTTTGCACATTCAATAATATTGCTAACTATTAATTATTTATCTATTTTTTGAGACAGAGTATCACTCTGTCACCAAGGCTGGAGTGTAGTGGTGCGGTCTCAGCTCACTGCAACCTCTGCCTCCTGGGTTCAAACGATTCTCCTGCCTCACCTCTTGAGTAGCTGGGATTACAGGCACGCACTACCACACCTGGCTAATTTTTGTATTTTTAGTAGAGACAGGGTTTCACCATGTTGGTCAGGCTGGTCTGGAACTCCTGATCTCGTGATCCACTCACCTCGGCCTCCCAAAGTGCTAGGATTACGGGCATGAGCCACCACACCCAGCCAATATTGCTAACTCTTAACCATTTACGATGTTTCCTTTTAAGAGCAGGAAAAGGATATTCTTTATAATTACAAAAGGATATACTTTATATTTACATCAGATATTTTCTTTTTTTCTCACAATATTGACATAATCATTCAAATATAACACCCAGGCTGTATGTACTGTAAGTTTATTTTTTGTATAAATGAATCTTTTATATCCTGCTGACTGACTAACTTATATTTTTTCTGGAAATATAGACGAATTATATTCACAGAACAGGTGTATAGATACATTAAATTGTAAAAAAAAAAGGCTTATTTTTATATTTTATTTATACCATTGATCTGATATTTAAAACTGCAAACTCGAGCAAAGTGATCCAAAATCATCTTAATGCAGTGAGATTCAAATGCATTAAAGCTGTAGATTTTACAGCTTAAAGTCATCTTATAAATGATTTACTTCAGCATCCTCATATTCAATATGAGAGACATTAGTCAAATGAGATGATGACTTACTCTTGATTCCTGTTATTTTACAAATTATGGAATTAGAATATCAATTTTCGGATTCCCAGCTCTGTGTTCCTTACCCTACTCTATTGTGGTTACCCATATATCAATATTTTTTAAATATAATCATAAAATTAGTTTTAAGGGACCTTTAAATATCATTTAGTACTCCTCTTCTTTGAGTCAATAGAACTATTGTATTCTGCACAGACAGTAATCTACTAATTTCTGAAGATAATGACATATGGTAAATTAGAGTATTATTTAAATGTCATCCCCAAACTATTGTTTTTCCCTTTAAATAAATGAAAATGAGTTTCATTCTTAAATAGAATATTATTATATCTTGACACAAACATTACTTTGCTACTATAGCAAATTTCAATAAAAATGGGATACAATTTGTCTGCAACCTATCTATTTCTAAAAAAAAGAAACTTCACCACTATTTTTGAAAGAGCAGTGGCATTAAAATATGCTTACAAGTTGTCTTAATTGCTAAGGATTTATTTAATGCAAATGAGTTATTTTATAGTGTAAGTGTCCCTGCCTCCGACCACCCTAGGATTTTTGCTGTGAAACATCGGCCTGTCTCTATCTCTGCAAAAAACAAGCAGCCATCACAAAGACACAATGCCATCAGTTCCCTGCAGTTTGTAAGTCAACTCACAGAAAGCACCAGGAACATTTGTGTCTATAAAATCAGACATTAGCCAAACAACTCCAAAGTCTACTTGAGTTCAGTTTGGTGGTTTACACATAGGTGACGGTGCTACGTGACTTCAAAAGTATCCACTAAGGCCTGGACTTCATGTGGAACACTGTGTAATGAGTGCACTTTTCCTAACTGGACTGTGATCTCTACCATTGCACTGTTTTAGATCACCTTCTCCTACATCTTTGAGGAAGGGCTTTGGAGGCAAAGTGTCTGGATTCCAATTCCTGCTCTGGGGCAGGCTAGGTATGCAGCTCCATTCTAATCCTCAGATTCTTTATTTGTAAAATGGGAATAAGAACACCTAGCTTGTAAAGTTTTAAGGAAGGTCAAATAAAATAATACTTTTAAAACACCTAAGCATATTACCTTGGATATATAGAAATACATATATCCTATATACATAATATCCCTGTGGAATTGCAAATGTTTACATACCAAATACAGACGGTGCCCAATTTATGATGTTTTGACTTAAGATTTTTCAAATTTATATTGGTGCAAAATTAATACACATCCAGTAAAAACTGCACGTTGTATTTTCAATTTTGATATTTTCTTGGCTAGTGTTATGTGATAAGATACTCTCTTGCAATGCTGGGTAGCAGCAATGAGCCACAGCTCCTAGTCAGACATACAATCAGGAGGATAAACAACTGTTACTCTACATTGTACTATGTTGCCACAAGTTTTTGCCCAACTCTAGGATAACAGAAGTGTTCTGAGCATGTTTAAGGTAGAGTGGGCCAAGCTACCATGTTCTGGAAGTTAGGTGTATAAAAATCCACCTTTCAACTTATGATATTTTCAATTTACAATGGATATTGGGACATAACCCCACTATAAGTCAAAGAGTAACTGTATTGTGATCCACTTTAGTTAAAATAAAATGATAAGGCACATATTTCAACATTATTGAGAGAAATAATTTTAGGGGAAATCATTGTGTTTGACACACATGCTTTTGTGAAGGCAGGATACACGGCTCTTCATAATCTTTATTGAAAGTAAATAGAGAAAACTGAGAAATATTTACAAATCAGTTACCATAAACGCACAAGATACAAAAAGGATTAGCCATGTACTGATTTAACAAATCTATACATATTCTTTATTCTGCCATTATAAAATTGATTTGGAGGCAAATGTGTTGCAGATGGAAGAAACCCTCCTGTAATATTGTTTTTATTTGCAGATTATTATTTTTATTTCCTGAGAATATAATCCTTAACCTAAAGACTATAATTACAAAAAGGAACTTGCACATGCTTTTTTATAGAAAATGTTGCCTGTTGGAGTATTTTTACAGTAAATTGGATTTACTTACCAAATCTTAAAGTACAAAATAGCCCTTTGATGTTTAGCTTAATGTCTATGTCTGCCATTGCTAAATATTTACTAATGCATCTACTATATGAGACATGGATTTATTTGTTCATAAGAAAGTGTTTTAATTTTAAATTTCTCCTTTCAAGGCTGTTTGCAAAAAAGTTAATTTATGACTCTAATATATTTATTTGCAAACAAAACACAGAGATTATTTCTTCTACAATGATGAGTACAAACCAATGTTGACTGTGGCTAGTAAGGTTGGTATTTTTGTTATTTTTGTTACCTATTCTCACTTCCACCATTTGACATGTATGCTAGAGCTGACAGAAAAACAAAAGTAGAATCATTTTGCCTTCTTCTGGAGGAAAATAAAATTTAATACACCAGGGTTCAGAATCGAGTTAACTGTCCTGCTGGGACATGGGCTTTTTTCTTAAACTTTGTCCCCACCTTCCTATAACAATTACTTACAGATTCTAAGGTCCCCTCTTCAATTTGGAGCTGTCTCCTCTTTCTATTTCCCTTACTAGAAACTGGTATCCTGACCAGAAACTCAAGCTTATGGCTGGTGCCTAATACCTGCTGAGAATTCTCTCCGAGTCCTGGTGTGGGTTGGTTTGTCCTAGTCTCTTAACAAGTTCTTCTTCAAGGTTCTCTGGAGACTTGCTCATCAAAGAAGTGACAACCAAACACTAACTTTTGTTTTGTGGTGCCTTAAGTATATCTCACACTGAACAAAAGTGCATGTAAAACCTTGCAGTTTGAATCATGAACCTGGTGTTGCTTGTCCCTTTGAGCATAAGGATCATCCTGGCTAATGGCATCAAGACAAAGCCATCCGTTCAGTAATTGGTTAGTCTTGGGAACAAAAAGGTAAAACAAAGGGGCTACAGGCCCCATGCAAGTCCAAAACCAAGCAGGGAAGTCATTAAATCTTAAGGCTCCAAAATAATCTTCTTTGACTCCATGTCTCATATCTAGGCTGCACAGATGGAAGGGGTGGGCTCCCAAGGCCTTGTGCATCCCCATCCCTATGGTTTTGCAGGGTGCAGCCTCCATGGCTGCTTTCACAGCCAGGTGTTGAGTGCCTGTGGCTTTTCTAGGTGCACAGTGCCAGCTGGATCTGCCATTCTGGGGTCTGGAGGATGATGACCCTCTTCTCAGAGCTCCTCTAGGCAATGTCCCAGTGAGAACTCTCCATGGGGGCTCCAATTCCACATTTCCCCTCCAGACTGCCCTAGTATAGGTTCTCCATTAGGGCTCTGTGCCTGCAGCACACTTCTGCCTAGACATTCAGGCATTTCCATACATCCTCTGAAATCTAGGCAGAGGCTCCCAAGCCTCAACTATTTCCCTCTGTGCACATGCAGGCTTACTACCATGTGGAGGCCACCAAAGCTTGTGGCTTACACCCCCTAAAGCAGCAGCCTGAGACATATCTGGGGCCTTTTTAGTCATGTCTGGAGCTTGAGCAGCTGGGACACAGAGAGCAGTGTCTGGAGATTGTACAGGGCAGCAGGGCCCTAGGCCTGGCCTGCAAAACTATTCTTCCTTCCTAGGCCTCTGGGCCTGTGACAGGAGGGGCTGCTGTGAAGGTCCCTGAAATGCCTTCAAGTCATTTTCCCCATTGTCTTGGCTATTAACATTCAGCTCCTCTTTTCTTATGAAATTTCTTCAGCCAGCTTGAATTCCTTCCTAGAAAATGGGCTTTTCTTTTCTACCACATGGCTGGGCTGCAAATTTTCCAGAATTTTGTGTTCAATTTCCCTTTTAAATATATGTTCCAGTTTTAGGTTATCTCTTTGAACGTGAATATTAGTATACACAGTTAGAAGAAGCCAGGCCATGTCTTGAATGCTTTGCTGCTTAGAAATTTCTTCCAACAGATACCCTAAATCATCTCTCTCAAGTTTAAAGTTCCACAAATCTCTAGAGCAGGGACACAATGCCTCCAGTCTCTTTGCTAAAGCATAGCAAGAGTCACCTTTACTCCAGTTCCCAATAAGTTCCTCATCTCCATCTGGGACCACCTCATCCTGTATTTCATTGTCCATATTACGATCAGCATTTTGGTTACAACCATTCAACAAATCTCTAGAAAGTTCTAAACTTTCTCTCAACTCCCTGTCTTCTTCTGAGCCCTCCAAACTGTTCCAACCTCTGCCCATTACCCAGTTCCAAAGCTGCTTCCACATTTTGAGGTATCTTTATAGCAATGCCCCACTTCCCTGGTACCAATTTTCTGTATTAACCCATTCTCACAGTGCTATAAAGAAACACCTAAAACTGGTTAATTTATAAAGAAAATAGATTTAATCAGCTCATTGTTCTGTGGACTGCACTGGCTGTTTGCTGTTTGCTGAAGAGAAATTCTTGTTTCTATGACTCACTTTGGTGGAGAAAGAGGGGCAAGAGATAGAGTAGCAGGAGAAAGTCAGAGAGATGTTGATTGTGATGCCTTCCAATCTCCTTTAATTTAAAATATTCAGCATGCCAAAGCACCATACTTTTGAGTATCATTTTCTGAGCCTCAACAGTTCCATGCTAGAGTACTATTTCTGTCAAATTTTGCTTTTTGGAAATGGTAAGCTATTTAGATAAATTCTCTCTCTCTCTCTCTCTCTCTCTCTCTCTCACTCACACACACACACACACACACACACACCTCAAAACTTTGAATATAAGAAATTAAAACCATGTTAAAAGTGTCAAAGAGCAAGCAAAACTATTGGAAAATTCCAAGTCAAAGTTTTACCCTAAAGTGAAAATCCAGGGAGCTTAGCAGAACAAAGAACAATTAACCTCATCTTCTCTCTCATCCCCAAAAGACTTTGAGTTTTCTTCATTTTGGGTGATTAGATTATCTGGCTTAAGTAAAAATGAGGGAAAGAGAGAAAGAGGGGTACAAAAGTCAAAAGTTAGAGCTTGCCCAGAAAGGGGAATCTGGGACCTAAAAGGGCTAAATCCTTAGTGTTCAGGAAAACAAGAACTTATCTCATCCTCAGGGAATCAAGAAGAAAGCCATGTGGGTGTTGAACAGAATGGGAGAAAAAGGGAAAGGAAAAACATCAAGAACACACGCCCATGAATTGGCCTTATGGTTGATACAAGAGCTGGAAAGAAATTATTTAGGCAGATAATGAGGTTAAGAGAGTCCTCAGTAAGGTGTCCCTTTTAACAAAAAACAACCCCCAAATCATTTCTTTTCTAGGAAAGAGAAGCCTGTAAAATCAAGCTGCAGACATAAATAAGCAAGCTGGAATCTTGCGTAGGTAAATGCCAGCAGCTGTGCCAATAGGAAAAGGCTACCTGGGGGCCAGGCATGTTCAACATGGAGGTTCCCTGTTCCCTTTTGTTTGTCACCACGTGTGCAGTAAAAAGGCAGGCAACATGGCGCCGGCCAGATAGAGACCCTATCTGCATAATAAAAGATTAGGGTGAGATGGCCAGCTTCTTTGCATGCTATGCAAACAGCACATCTGGTCCAACCAGTCTCTCGGGCCCTATGTAAATCATACACCACCTCCTCAAGCTCATCTATAAAACCCCGTGCACTTCACCACAAAACCAGAAGACCCACTCAGAAGCCTCTCTCTGCAGAAGAGAGAGCTATTCTCTTTCTTTTGCCTTTTAAATCTCTGCTCTTAAACTCACTTCTTGTGTGTCCATGTCCTCGATTTCCCTGGCATGAGACAACGAACCTCAGGTATTTACCTCAGATGACACCGCTTCACTGTAAGTGTCTTAAGACAAGGAAGCATTATAAGAGATAAAGTCAGCTAATAAAGATTTCATCAGGAAAATAAATACACACACTAACATATATCTATACAGATACACCTATATATCATAGTGCATAGATAGATAAACTAGCATTTATATATACACACACTAGCATATGTTTATGTACTAGCACATATATATATATATATACACTATCATATACATAGAAAAGTAGAGAGAGGATTCAAATAAGCTCAATTATAAATGAAACTGGAGACATTACAGCTGACACCACTGACATACAAAAGATTATTTGAGACTGCTATGAATATATCTATGCACACAAACTAGAAAATCCAGAGGAAATGGATAAACTTCTGGAAACATGCAACCCTCCTAGCTTGAATCGGAAAGTAATAGAAGTAACACTGCTTGTTATTAGTAACAAGCAGTGATATTGAATCAGTAATAAAAAAGAAAATACCAACACAAAAAGCCCAGGGCCAGATGGAGTCACAGCTGAATTCTATATGACAGTCAGTGAAGAATTGGTATCATTCCTACTGAAAGTTTTTCAAAAGACTGACAAACAGGGAATCCTTCCTCTTAACTCATTATGTGAAGCCACTATCACCCTGATACCAAACCTGAAAAGGACATAATAAAAAAAAATTGCAGACCAATATCCCTGATGAACATAGATGCAAAATTCCTCAACAAAATACTAACAAACTGAATCAAACAGCACATGAAAAGAGTAATTTACCATTATCAAATGGGTTTTCTCCCTGGGATGGAGGGATGGTTTAATGTATACAAGCCAATAAATGTGAAACATCACAGAAACAGAATTAAATACTAAAACCATATGATCAGCTCAATAGATGCAGAAAAAGGACCTGTTAAAATTCAGCATCCCTTTATGATAACAATTCTAAACAAACTAGGGATATAAGGAACATGCCTCAAAATTAAAAATACAATATATGACAAATTCACAGCCAACATCATACTGAATAAGGAGAAGTTAAAAGCATCCCTCTGAGAACTGGAATAAGACAAGAATGCCCACATTCACCACCTCTATTCAACATTGTAACCAGAGTCCTAATCAGAGCAATGAGGTAAGAAAAAAATAAAGGAAACCCAAGTTGAAAAAGGAAGTCAAACTATCTCTGTTCACTGAAGATATGATTGTCCACCTTAAAACCCCCAAAGACTCCTCCAAAAGACTCCGAGATTTGATAAATGAATTTAGTAAAGTCTCAGGTTAAAAAGTAAATGTACACAAATCAGTAACACTGTTATACATCAACAACGATCAAGCTGAGAATAAAATCAAGGACTCAATCCCTTTTACAACAGCTGCAAAAAATACTTACAAATATGCTTAATCAAGTAGTTGAAAAATCTCTACAAGGAGAACTACGAAACTTTTAAAAAAAACATAGATGACACAAACAAATGGAAATTCATCCCATGCTCATGGATTGGAAGAATCAATATCTCGAAAATCATCATACTTTTCAAAGCAATCTACAGATTTAATGTAATTCATATCAAAATACCAATAACATTTTTCACAGAATTAGAAGAAACAATCACCAAAGCAATTCTAAACAAATAGGACAAATCTGGAGGCATCACACTACCAGACTTCAAATTATACTACAACACAATAGTTACCAAAACACCATGGAAATGGTATAAAAGTAGACCCGTAAAACAGAATAGAGAGCCCCAAAATTAAATTAAATATTTACAATCAACTGATCTTTGAGAAATCATACAAAATCATAAACTGGAGAGAGGACACGATATTCAATAAATGGTGTTTGTAAAACTGGATAGTCACAGGTTGAAGAGTGAAATTGGATCTGTATCTCACACCATATGCAAAAATCAACTCAAGATAGATCAAAGACTTAAATCTAAAACCTAAAACCGTACAAATTCTAGAAGAAACCCTAGGAAAAACCCTGTGGACATTGGTTTAGGTATAGAATTTACGACTTAGAGTCCAAAAACAAAAGCCACAAAATTAAAATAATTAAACTGAAAAGCTTCCACACAGCAAAAGAAATAATCAACAGAGCAAACAGACAACCCACAAAATGGGAGAAAATATTTGCAAAGTATGTATCCAACAAAGGACTAATATCTAGAATCTAAAAGGAACTCAACAAAATTAGAATGAAAAAAACAAAAAATCTGTCAAAAATTAGGCAAATGACATAAACATTTCTCAAAAGAAGATATACAAACACAAATGTCCAACAAACATATAAAAATGCTCAACATCACTAATCATCAGAGTAGTGTAAAGTAAAACCACAATGAAATACGACATTATCCCAGCCAGAATGGCCATTATTAAAAAGTCAAAAAGCAATAGATGTTGGCATGGATGTGGTGAAAAGGAAATAGTTTTACACTGCTGGTGGAATGTAGATTAGTACAACCTCTGTGGAAAACAGTATGGAGATTTCTTAAAGGACTAAAAGTAGATCTACTATTAGATCCAGTAATCCCACTTCTGGGTATCCACCCAAAAGAAAAGAAGTCATTATATAAAAAGATACCTGTATGCATATGATTATCACAGAACAATTCACAATTGCAAAGATATGGAGCCAATGTAAGTGCCCATCAGCCAATGATAAAGAAAATGTGATATATATATATATATGAATACAACTCAGCCATAAAAAAAAGAATGAAGTAATGTCTTTTGTAGCAAGTTGGATGGAGCTAGAGGTCATTATTCTAAGTGAAGTAACTCAGGAATGAAACACCTAATACTGTATGTCCTCAGTTGTAAGTAGGAGCTAAGCTATAGCTATATGAAGGCATACAGATGGTGTGATGGACTTTGGAGACTCAGAAAGCGTTGGGCAGGAGGGAGGTAGGGAATGAAAAACTTCATATTGGGTACAATGAACACTGCTCAGGTGATGTGTGCACTAAAACCTCAGACTCCTCCACTATTTTGTGTGTGTGTGTGTGTATGTGTGTAAATTAAAACAGAAACAACACATTCTGTAATAATCTATAAGCATTCAGAAATCTTGGCCAGTGCTATGGAAAGTGAGGCAGGATTAGGAGGTCACTGAAGTGAAAGGGTCTTCAGGACTAGAGTCGCCGTGTTACTGGGACAGTGTAGGGGTTGTCCTTTCTTATTTTTATTTGGAGCCAGACAGTTAATGCCAAGAGACTGAACTGTGATTTTCCTATAGGCAGGAA
The DNA here is from genome assembly GCF_000001405.40 of Homo sapiens. NCBI lineage: Eukaryota > Metazoa > Chordata > Mammalia > Primates > Hominidae > Homo > Homo sapiens. The sequence continues at coordinate 36,531,548 of NC_000023.11, read as the reverse complement.
ACTATGGCCACAGATTTGTGTTTTGGAATCAGACCATTTTACTTTCACTTTCTATGCAAGGACAACACTCTATGTTGTTTTCTCAAAGTCATTTAAGACTGAGTACTACTATTCTTATGATTAAGATTTCTTTGCTGAAGTAAGGGAAAGATGATCCCAATGCCGAAAAGATGTAGAGTCTACTGTGGGAAACAAAAATCAACTCCCAATAGAAGGACATTGGAAAATACCTTCCCAATGGAAGGCATTGAAAATGGCACCTTTAATTTAGGTTACAGAATCTGCCCAACCAGGATTACAGTAGGAAGAAGTGTTATAATGTTTATCATATACTTCAAATACCACATACACACACACAAAATATGTGTGTCATTTAAATATTTAATTCAAGCACTAACTAGGATTCAAATATTACACTAAAGGACGCAGTCTAGACAAAGTCAGCTGGTGCTCAAATAGGAAGTCCAAACTCAAGAGACAGTTCCTGAAAGAGCTTCTGTTCCTTGTATCTCAGTCAACAAACTAGACTTTGCCAATTAACATATTAAATACCAGAAAATTAAATTTTATTGGTTAGTCATAATAAATAGAATAATAATTTTTGTTAATGAACTCTTATAGGTAAAATGAAAAGTAGTTAAGGTTTATGGACTGGCTCAAACTATAGGAGATATTGCTCACCCAATGCACAGAGATTTTAAGAATCTGATGAGGTTGGTAGACTTTACACTTTTGGATGAAACCCAAGGCTTTATTAAACTGAAAATCTTCCATGCAGCCATGTGCCCACTACTTGTTTAGGATTATGGTTCTTAAACCTGAGTGCACATTAGAAGTACTTGCTTTTAAAAAGCTGCAAATGTCTAAGTCACAACTCATAACAATTAAAGCAGAATCCTTAGGGGAGGAATCCAGGAATTAGTAGTTTTTAAAGCTTCCTAGGTGATTTCAATATGCAATCAAGGTTGGAAACCACTGGTTTGAGAGGATATATAATGCTAACTATTATAAATGCTGGAGATTCCAGCCTTTGCAATGGTTTTTATTAGCATAGAATGACCCTTTTATGGAAAGAGGTAGTTAAAGCACCTAAACGGACAGAAAGCTGAACTTCATGGAGTCAACAGAACAGGTTGCATGAACTATTTTGTTCCTGTTTGATGATCAGTGTTTGAGTAATCTATGTCTGCATATGTGGCTGTATTATTTCTAAGACTTGATTTAACCCGAGAGAAAAGTTTATGATAATACCTTTATCCATCTCCACCTTTAGGACAGCATAGCCTATCAAAAATAAACTAAGGATTGTGCAAGACCAAATTGGCCTAAGTCAGATTTAGGGGTGCTGGTGGTATAATCTGTTATCTACCCAACCATGAGCTCTTTGGTGTAAGATAGTCACCATTTTTGTCTACTATATTCTGGACAATGTTTTAAATTGAGGCAAATTCAGTAAATTCTGTTTTGAAACTCAATCTTTTAAGGGTAACACTCTCTTAATTTAGGAATTTTCTGTCTTCTCTTTCCTTCTATTTGCCCTGAAGGTGATCTACGTTGCAGCAACGATCTATAAATAACCTGGCATTTGGAAAAGAGAGAGTGAGAGATTTTATTGTGTATAACAACATTTGAACCAACAAGAACCCATGTTGACTTTGGCTGAGATGTATAAACTTAATTGATCTTATTGGTTAATATCTATCCACTGCCTCTATGGTTCAAATGTCCATGTCCCTCTGCTCTGTGGTGCCTAGTTTATTGCATATTAATATGTGTATTCACTTTTCTGTCATTTTGAGGACTCTCGAAGTCTCCAGTCCACTCAGCCATTTTATGTCCTTTTGAAGGGTGTAGGCTACTTTCAAAATTTAGCAGTGATACACATCGAGGGATATTGACTCACAACTTGCTACTCTAAAATTAAGGTGCTAAAGTGGCCTTGTGACCACCCTAGGAGGCTTTTACTAACCCTTTCTTTATGTTTGGGTTTCACTAAGCCTGTCTAATTTCTAACACACAAAAAATCCTGAGGACATAGCCCTAGAAAATTTTATCCACAATTTAACTCCCTTGATCATATCTTCCAATTATTCTGGCTTCTCTAATATGTGGGTTCTTTTTCTGGCGAGGGACAGGAAATTGCTCTCACATCATTATACAATTTTTTTTAGTTAACTGAATATGGCATACATTCCAGGTCTGCTTGCTTCAAGGCAACTTTATTGGAATGCTAGACTTTCACAATTCCTGTGTGTTCTGTGGGTTTTTTAAGACTTTACTTGTAAACTCTCTTGACTTCTTTAGTCTCAGCTGAGCTATCACTCCCCTGATTCAAGGAACACCACTGAGCCAATGAGTATGGTGCCCAATATTGTCAGAAATTATAAGAGAAAGAAATGCTTCGGTTATTATCAAAATACTATTTACTACCACCCCTGTAACAATGACTTGTTTTTGAATGGATGGACTTGAGATAACATTTTATCAAGATATCTGTATTAGCTTATGTTTAATATGATTTTTTTCGGTGAGAAAACTAGAGATCTTAAGTGTTAAGTGACTTGCCTGAGATCACAGTGCTAACTAATAGCAACTGTGGGTGCAGAAAAGTGAGTGTTTTTCTGTTGCTGGAAGCTCTAGAACTTGGATGAGAGAAATGAAAATTGGCTTCCAGCTAGCTAGCTCTATATGAATAATTCATAAATGCTGCTGTGCTTTAGAATCAACCACAAGTTTCTGCAAAATACATATGACTCTCCAACAGTAAGTTTGCAGATTCAGCAGGCCTGGGGTAGGTTTTATCTCTCTGTATTTAAGAATAATGTTCACACATAATTTCTATATTTTAAAAAATAAATAAAGCTCAAGAGCATGGATAATGCACAATCTGTCTCAAATATTACCATCCCTGGACTTCTTTTCATTATTCTTTCCCAGTTTCCCAAAAACCAAATAGAAGGTTGCTAAGGGAGGCATTAATTTTGATGTCTGTACAGCTTGATGGTGTGGTTTTAACAATTTTGTGTGCTTCAGGATCATCCAGGATACTTTTTATAAATATAATTATCAGGGGCCATTCCTAAGTTTCCGGAATTGCTTTATGGACATTTGAAAATGGATAATTAATAAATAAGCATATACTGGAATTTGATCTGAAGCCTGCTTTTATTATATTTTGAAAGTGAGCCTTTGGGACACTATCAGCTCTTATCCATCTCTAACCTTTTGGCTGCACTTGTTTATTTACCAAAAAAGAATTTAATACGTGAACCAAGTTTGACTGGGCCATAGGGCTTGTTAATCTAAACATTTGCCTCTAGTAGTTGAACCTTTCTTCCTGCAAAAAATCTGCCTTCTTGTCCTGCCTTTCGAACATAGCCTGGCAGTTAGGAAGTGAGTATATTTGTCTGTTGGATGATTTGACAGGATGCTCTGTAAAAACAATATTTCCCAAAGTGTTTCTGAGTCCAATAGTGAAAACATCTTCTTCCAAACCTACTAAATGAGCTGTGATGTTTGCTCAGTGGAGAATTTGAAATCAGTCAATGTACGGATTGATAAATACCTGCCAAGCACAATCTGCCTCTAATTCTCAAAAACACAGGTGGCAGAATGTCTGGGCTTAAAAGGTCTGTTGACTAACAGGATTTGTTTATAGTTTAATTATTTTACAGATAAGACAAGGTCCAGAGGCAGTGTACCTAGGTATTGGCACAAACCATCACTTCTTGGCTTTTTGTGTGAATCCCCGGAAATATACAGACCACAGTCCAAAAGCCTGTGTGGTGAATTCCATTGCTTGTATCACCAGACAAAGCAGGTGAGGACCATTAGAAAAAATGCCTCTGTCAGGATAATTATCAGTGCAGCCTCCTTGTCAAGAAATTGACGTCCAATGGAAGGAAAACCTGAGAGATGAGAGAGAAAAATATTAAGGGGGCTAAAGCAGAGGAAGAGCTAAAAAATGAAATTCCAAAATTAAAGGTGATCCTGGCAAGACACTAACGAAATCTCATTCTAGTCAAAAACAGCCTACCTCCTGATTTCTGTTGCTATCTGCTCCACATCCAGAGAGGCCTAAAAATAGTGGAGAAGTCAGAAAACATAAAGGAAGTAATACCTGAAGAGCACTGAAAAGAAACAAAACAAATTTTTGAAAAATTCTTTCTTATGGAAGAAAATATCTTCCACTTTCTGATTGGCTTTATTCACTGACATGCAGGCATTGACATTGTATATTTTACATGTTACCCTAACTACACTCTGAAAACATTCAGTGCAGGTATGATGTGATATTTATTGTGGCATTTCCAGCCTGAAGCATAATATTTAGCAATGGCAGGTGTTTAATATGTGTTCTTGAATGAATGAACATATTGAATATATCTCAGTTCAAGTGGAAGGGTAAAATGAAGCAGAAGATAAGAAATAAATTATTTGGACATAATGTAATAATACATATATTTCCCAATTTGTGTCCTTTCCTTCCTTTATTTATTGTTTTCTTCCTTCCTCTCTCCTTCATTTTCATCTCTTCCCTTGCAATCCCTTCTTCCTCCCTCCCTCTTGCAATCCCTCCCTCCCTCCCTTCTTTCCTTCCTTCCTTCCTTCCTGCCTTCCTTCCTTCCTGCCTTCCTTCTTGCCTTCCTTCCTTGTTGCCTTCTTTCATTCTTCCTTCTTTCCTCTCTCTCTCTCCCTCCCTCTCTCTCTCTCCCTCCCTCTCTCTCTCTCTTCCTTCTGCTGAAATTGAGGGGACTAAGGCTGAGAGCCTAGGTGACTTTTCAAAGTTTGTCCATTAAGGTTATGGGTATAATTGGTACGAGGAACATCCCTTTTGTCACCCAGGCCATTTCTCTTTTTACCACATCATACATACTCTTTCTAGATTTATGTACAATCAATAAAAGAAAAACTATCACCATGAAATGAAAGAATCTCCTCATTCCTCTCTATGCATTGCTCTAAAATTATTGTATCTAAAGAAAGTAGTAGCACTTCACACTCTGATGTATCTCACACATAGGAAACGTTTGGCTGTGATGACAATTAAAAGAACATAAATGAGTGATAGGAAACAGAATTTGTTAATAAGTTTGGGTCAAAAGGGAACAACTCACGTGGAATATCAACACAACAAGTGTTTTCTAAAATTGACAACTCTGAATTAATTACTATCTAGGACTTTACCACACTTTCAGCTATATCTGCAACACCAAAATTAAAATGAAAATATGAAAAATCTGTCAGTTCATATTTGTTTGAGTATACAATTCCATATATGTGCAAGTCATTTTTCTGGCTAAATCAATCTGTAATTTTTGGTATAATGTGAATGTATCCACAAATATAATTTTTCTTTTTGTATTGTCAGGTGAATATTTTGGGAGGCATAAGACTTGAATACCTTGAGGGCACAGCCTCTCTGTATCCTGAAGGGAAGTTTCTCAGCCACCGTCCTATCCGCTAATATTAAAACTAACAATACGGCTGGGCGCGGTGGCTCACCCCTGTAATCCCAGCACTTTGGGAGGCCGAGGCGGGCAGATCACGAGGTCAGGAGATCGAGACCATCCTGGCTAACACGGTGAAACCCCGTCTCTACTAAAAAAAAAAAAAAAAAAAAAAAAAAAAAAATTAGCCCGGCGTGATGGCGAGCGCCTGTAGTCCCAGCTACTCGGGAGGCTGAGGCAGGAGAATGGCATGAACCTGGGAGGTGGAGCTTGCAGTGAGCCGAGATCGCACCACTGCACTCCAGCCTGGGCGATAGAGCGAGACTCTGTCTCAAAAACAGAACAAAACAAAAAAAAAACAAAACTAACAGTACATACTCTTAAAGCATTTCGCAAAGATTTTTGAGGTCAAACTAAAAGGCATTCAATGCACAGAGGAAGTTTTCCAAGAACCAGTGCACAATACTTATTCATTTTTTTTAAGTTCAGTGAAATGGTGATATTTGCTGAGGAAATAAGAAGCACTAAGAATAAATGACCAACTTTATTTTCCCTCATCTATATTCTTACTTTTCCAAAAAATTAATGAGCCCATCAATCGTGAATAATCTCATCTAAAGTCCTATTCAAATTTTGCTCTGCTGTTGATTTTTTCTTTTACATTTATACTTTTAATTTAAATTTATTTTCTCATATATGCCTGGCTTAATAGAAACTGTGCTTTAGGGAACATATTTTAATTTATTCATCTTTTTACCCTTAGCAATGACTTTTACTTGATGCTATTTAATTTAAATAATTGGAAGTGAATTGGCTGTAAGCAGGGTGGGTCATCTGGAGGCCACTAACTTGCCAATCAGTTACGTCCTTGGTGAGTGATAGTTAAGAGAGTCATAAATTATAAACAAGAAACATTGCACTGATTTTTAAAAATTCTGATCCAGAATTATTTGTTAGTTTTTTGTTGGTATTGCTAAGACATGAAAAATGAGGTGAATATTTTCTAAATACTGTAACTTTAGATGGACTGTTTAGAACAAAAGATATCTAATAAAAATATCTGTCCAATGCCCCTCAACCTTCTCCCCCATGTGGTAGGAGGTGCTGAAGCTACAACAACAGAAACAACAAAACCAACAGCAAGACAAATAATGAAGAAAAGCAGGTAGTTGAAGATAATTTACTGATATAATCTGCCTTAGAAATTGTTCCTATGATTGCATAATTCGAGAACGTAGCAAAGTTGAGTCTGGAGTCTTGGAAGAGATAAAACTCCCCAAATAATTGTGTACCAAGTTAATCTTGAATTAGATGTTGGTAAGAGGATGGAGGAAACCAATTTATAAGGTTTTGCTGGGTTTTGTGGGGGTCAACGTAAAGTTTTCCTTTAGAAAACATAGCAAAATTGAGTCTGGAGTCTTGGAAAAGATAAAACTCCCCAGTTAATTGTATACCAAAGTAATATTGAATTCAATGTTGGTAAAGGGATGGAGGAAACCAATTTATAAGGTTTTGCTGGGTTTTGTGGGATTCAACGTAAAATTTTCCTTGGGGGAGATAATGTGCCATAAATCCCTATATCTGATTGGGTTTGGAAAATTGTCTCTGGACCATTCATGCAGGTTTCCATTGATTAAACATATCTAGGGCTTGTTGATATGCTTTATTCAAGGCTTTCCTAATAAATATCCAGAATTTACTACACGAGGCAAAATGATTATTCAATTTAGAAACCAGAGTAACTCCAATTCTCTTTGAATGGTACACCTATCAGATTTAAATAAATATTAAGTTAAAAATGCATTCTTCCCCAAAGTCTAGGAGCTTATGAATTTTTTGTATCTACTGTCATATTTTATTTAGTTCTTTCTTACTTGTGACCTTTTTTGTTTCCTGTGATGTTAAGCAATAAAATTAATGTTAATTCGCTAAACTAAATCACTGTCTGCTTGTGTTTTGATCTTTTGTTTATTTTGCCTTTTATCTGGTCCTAAAGTTTTAAATACTAAAGACTTTGAAACAATTCATTAAAACCATTGGCTATGGACTTAGATTGCCTTGTTGAAAATGCCTTTCATACCATTTACTGGAAGGGTGCTCTTGGGCTACTTTGTTAATTTTTTTCTTTCATATCTCTTACTAGCTAAATTCGAGAGGTGAAGTGGCATTTTGAGTTCTTATTGCTAGGGCTGTGAGAATATCATTATATACTGTGTGTCAGGCACATGGTAAGCAGTCAAAACAGAGTAGCTACTAAAATAATTATTAAGTATATAAAACTTATTCCTCTATCTCAGTGACTTAATCCTTTTCATAAAATGTGTGCGGAGATTTAGGAGTGACCCCAGAAAGATAGGTAGAACATGAAGTCTCAGATCTCATTTCCCAACAAAAACACTGACTTTGCAAAACTATGTAGTCCGGGAAGCTTTATGAAAACTGCAGAAAGCAACAAAAAACTGCAGCTTACCAGTGTAGGGTAAAGCAAAGAACATCCACATTGAAATGGGTAAAAACAAACCATTACATGTCACCTGTGATAGCCCTTTTCCCAAGCAAGCACAGCTCTGTGTGCACAGAGAAAGCGCACAGGCCTATGTCTGCCAACTGCCCACTCCCAATGCCAACACCACCAGCAGCATGACTGCTCACATAGTTGCCAGCACGGTGCCCCTGTCCCCCTGAGCCATGTTACCTCAACCACTGTGGTGAATGCTTGCACAGAGGCAGACATCTCAGCACCCACTAGCACCCTGCCACAGCTGGCAAGTGTGCACCCCTCCACACTGCTACTACTGCTGGCACCTGTTAACAAGGATAAATCCCACTGCTGCCTCACTATGAAATGCTTTGGAGTGCAGTGATCAGTAGTCTGGGAGTACCTGGGCACCCTAGCACAATGGATTTCTAACCTCAAGGAGCCAAAGAACAAAGTCAGGGCCCAACACAAATCCCCCAGAGGTAGAGCACACAGTCCAAGAGTTGGAAGGTGAGCGTTGGCCCCCTAAATTATTCCAGAAATGAAGCCTGTCAATTGAATTCACCTTCTACCACAATCACACCCTCAAGTTTAACAAATATAATTTTTTAAAAAACTCATCCAAAAGTCAGTAGCTTCAAAGATTGAAGGAATAAAAGCCCACAAAGATGAGAAAGAATCAGCACCAGAACCCTGACACTCAAAAAGCCAGTGCCTTCCTTCCTCCAAATGACCACACCAGCTCTCCAGAAGGGGTTTTGAACTGAGCTGAGATGACTCAAATGACAGAAATAGAATTCAGAATATGGATAAGAACAAAGATCATTGCGATTCAAGAGTGTTTTGAAATCCAATCCAAAGAAGCTAAGAATCACAATAAAAAGATGCAGGAGCTGACAGACAAAATAGCCCGTATAGAAAAGAATGTTGCTGATCTAATAGTGCTGGAAAACACACTAAAAGAATTTCATATTGCAATCATAAATATTAATTTCAGAGTAGACCAAGCTGAGGAAAGAATCTCAGAGCTTGAAGATTGACTTTCTAAAATAAGACAGCCAGATAAGAATAGATAAAAAAGAATGAAAAGGAACAAACAAAACATTGCAGAAAGGAATTAAATAATACATAAATTAATTGAAAGATTTTCATGTTGATGGATTGGAAGACAATATTCTTAAAATGACCATATTGCCCAAAGTCTTCTATAGATTAAATGTAACCTCTATCAAAATTTCAATGGCATTTTTTTGCAAAATAGAGAAAAATCCTAAAATTCATATGCTATCTCAAAAGGCCTTAAATAGCCAAAACAATATTGAAAAATAAAAACAATGTTGGAGGTCTCACACTTCCTGATTCAAAATATTTTGCAAAGCTACAGTAATCAAAACAGTATGGTACTCATATGAAGACCTACATATAGATGAATGAAACAGAATAGAGAGCCTAGAAATCAACCCTGGCATATATGGTCAAATAATCTTAGCACAAGGGTGTCAAGCCTACAAAAGGGGAAAACAATAGTTTCTTCAATAAATGATGATTGAAAACAGAATATCCATATGCCGAATGGTAAACCTTTTAGAATAAAACCTAGGGGAAAAGCTTCATGACTTTGGATTTAGCAATGATTTCTTGGATATGACACCAAAAGCATAGGCCAAGAAAAAAAAAAAGCAAAAATAGGCAAATGAGACTATGTTAAATTTCAATTTTACATAGCAAAGGAAACAATCAACACTGTGAAAATGCAACCTACAGAATGGGACAAAATATTTGCAAACTACATTTGACAAAGGATTAATATCTAGAATATACAACTTGACAAGGAAAAAAAAACTAATTTAAAAATGATCAAAAGACTTGAATAGGCATTTCTCCAAAGAAGATATACAAATTGCCAAGAAGCACATTAAAAGATGTTTAGCACCACTAATTATTAAGAAAATGCAAATGAGAACTACAATGAAATATCCACTTATATCTGTTAGAATAGCCACTATCAAAAAAACAGAAAATAACAAGTATTGACAAAGATATGGAGAAATTAGAACCTTCACATACTGTTGTGAGGAATGTTAAATGGTGTAGCTGCTATGGAAAATATTGTGGACATTTCTCAAATAACATTAAAAATATAAATACCTTAAGATGCAGCAATCCTACTGTAGCTATATATTCAAAATAACTGAAGACAGGATTGTGAGGAGATATTTTCCCACCCATCTTCACTGCAGCATTACCTGCAATAGTCAAGAGGTGAAAGCAACTTAAATGCTAATCCAAAGAAAAATGGATAAAGAAAATACAATGGGGCATTATTCAGCCTTAAAAATGAAGGACATCCTATCGTATGGGTATCACATGACTAAACATTGAGGACATTATGCTAAGTGAAATAAGTCAGTCACAAATAAAACAATTACTGCAAAATTCCATTTACATGAAGTATCTAAAATGGGCAAACTTTTACAAACATAGAGTAGAATAGTTACTGTCAGGGGCTTAAGGGAGCAGGGATAAAGGAAGTTATTCAATGGCTATAAAGCTTCAGTTTCACAAGATGAAAAAGTTCTACAGATCTGTTTCACAATGATGTGCATATATTTAATTCTACAGTTACTGTATACTTAAAAATGGAAAATATTTTAAATTTTCTGTTATGTGTATTTTACCATAATAAAAAGATTAAATGCTAGTGTAAACCCTAACAATAGTATTTACACTTAGCCTTTTATCCTCTATTCTAATGTCGGTATTTCATCACCATTTCTCTATTTTTCACTCTCTCTTCTTGAACTTACAATTGTCCTTTGATAGACAGCAGGAACAGTGGCATGCTCTTTGCCAAACTGTCTTTCTCTTTGGTGGTCTCCATTGCCTTCCATAAGCCAGCTTCCTCACATGTTCTTCAGCCTGGCCCCGGCAGCTCTTTTCCTCACAGCTTTGCCATCAAAGAGAGGCTCAGTCTAGGTCAAGTCCCAGAGAAAAACTCTGACTCCATGGCACAGAGTCTATCCTGTCTTTGTATCTAAAAAGGTGAAAACCTGTGATTGTCAGTCTCCATTGGAATCCCTCAGTTACAGTAAATGTGCAAAACACTGAGCTGTGGCTTATGCTTTGAATGTCAATAAAAAGTATTTTGTTGGATCACAATAAATTTGGAAGAGAGTCTCTCCCAGACCCTGCTGCCACACCTATGTTAGCTGAGCAAGATAAAAATATGTGGATGGATTAACATATTATATCATATGGCATTTCTCCAAATTATTTTTCACCTGGATAGCATTTATTTGAAAGAGAAAGTTTAAAACAGACTTGTTTTCTGTAAATACCTACTTTTCTGTCTAGAATTGATCTTTTTTTATGAGAGAAGATTGACCTGTAAATTTGGTTTAAAATTGCTGCACGGTTCCTGCAGTTTTCTCCTCCTCTTTTCTTTTTTTTTCGAAAACATGGCTGTATTTTGCTTATAGTATTTTACATCTAGGCATCCATCAGGTAAATTGTGTTAAGTTATTCTCCACAGGAAGGAGAAAGTCATCTCTCTCTTGGTACATGGGGAGACTTTCTCCCATTTTATTTAATGTTTTGTATAACATTCATTTAAGTTCCTTTTTATATAGTAGGTCTCTCTCGGTATATAATGTCAGTTTGGTGTTAAAGTAACATTGAGATTTACAGGTTTATGTTCATGAGAAACATTGTTCATTAACTCTAGAGTAGTTTTTAAATAATACTAAAAAATGTAGGGATAAATCTTGATGTTGGGGGGAAAAAAAACAAGAATCGCATTTTGATTTGTTTGAAAGAAGGAGGACATTCCAAAACGCTGAGCAATACAGTATCCTGAGGTATTTGCATGATAATATCATACACTAGAAAGTGAGCCTCCGAATGGCAGGTGTATGAGCCAGGTCATAAAGGGCTGAAGTTGACATGATAGATTGATTCCTGTATGATAGAAACATCCTCAAGAAGTGTTGCTAGAGGAAGCAATACCATGCAGGCTGCATTTGCAAATGCTCCATGATTTTCAATTTTCCCCTCTGAATATAATCTTCTATAGCCAGTGAACCTTCTATTTCTCCTTGGCAGTCACCCGTGGCCTTCACAGTGAAGTTCTGTTATTTTGCTATTGACTTGCCACAGATGAATGTAATATAATAAATCATTTGTAAATGCAATGAAGATCTTAAACTCAAGACTGTAGTGCTTTGTTTACTGACCATCACACAACAGGTATAGCAGCACCTGACAGTGGCAAATGTCCATGGGTCTTTGCGGGCAAAAAGAGAAAGCCCATTTACTTCTCAGTTCCTGTAGATGTGAATCTGTCTTCAATTGCCAGCTACCAGGCAGTTAGTGCCTGGTCAGAATGAGAATTGCTTGCTCATAAGAAGCAAATGATGAATAATAAGTCATCAGAATATCCCTGCAACTACCTATCAATAAATGTAACCAGCAGATAAGGCTGTTTTTTCCTCTTCTCATAAGCAAATTTAATAGTCTATTCCTGAGGAATAAAATTGGATCTGGGCCAATTTCATCAGCATATGCTTACTTGTGTAATCAAACTTTTTTTTTCCTGAAAAGTGTATAAACGTAGTAGATTATATTAAGCAAACTCATTAGTTTTCTGTTGATTTTTTCTTTTGGACTTTCTATTCCTTCATCTCAAGATCACTGTGAAGGTTTTCCTTAACCTTCAGCTGTGGCTTCTCATTCTCCAGCATTACCCAGTTCACCCACAGATTTCACAGGTATTAAGGGCAGGCACTGGGCAGCCCTGCCTTTCACTATGCTCAGCATAGGTAAGAAAACGCGTGGAATAAAATCTGTCATTGCAGTGCTGTCTAATGACACTAACACAGAGGATCTCCTGATTTAGCCAGAGGACTCTGACAATGCTTATAAGGAAGGGGAGCATCAAGCTGGTTCTTGAAGGAAGAGAAAGGATTAGCAAGAAAAATCAGCATGAAGGCAGAAAAGGGAAATAAATCCCAGAAAGTGAAAAAGCATGGGCAAAGACTTGGGAGTTTGAGGGAGGTTAGCACAGTGAAAGATTCAAAGATAGACTAGTGAGTCTGAAGCAAGTGTGTGTGTGTGTGTGTGCGTGCATGCACAAATGTGCCCATACAGCAGGGGAGGTATAGATCTCCTGGCTCAATACATTGTTCAAATATTTTCAGGGCATAGGGGATAATCCCACTGCACACAAGGCATATGAAAACATTTCTGTTCTCCCATGAGTACAGGCATCAAACAGGAAAAATATTGAAGTAAACATGTGATTCTCTTTATTTGGGTAAAAATCCAGAGAGAGAGAGAAGACATTGAGGAATGAGGTAGAGGCAAATTCTAAAGCCCCTTTTGTGCTGTATCTTTGCAGTATGGCTTTCTTATTATTATGACGGTAATTACCACAATTTCTGAAAGTACTGCATGTTTATACCACTCTCAATACAATTTCAATAGTCAACTAAAAATCCAAATATATGCTGATCCCAAATTTTAAATATATTATGTCCCCAAATTCCATTTCTAATATAGCTGTTTTAGCTCTCAATGTGTTTGACCATAAAAGTAGGGTTTCGGCCAGGCACTGTGGCTCACGCCTATAATCCTAGCACTTTGGGAGGCTGAGGCGGGTGGATCACGAGGTCAGGGGTTCAAGACCAGCCTGGCCAACGTGGTGAAACCCCATCTCTACTAAAAATAGAAAAATTAGCCAGGCATGGTGGTGCGCGCCTGTAGTCCCAGCTACTCAGGAGGCTGAGGCAGGAGAATTGCTTGAACCTGGGAGGCAGAGGTTACAGTGAGCCAAGATTGCACCACTGCACTCCAGCCTGAGTGACACAGCGAGACTCAGTCAAAAAAAAAAAAAAGAAAAAGAAAAAAGAAAAAAAAGCAGGGTTTCAAAAGGCAGCAAGAGTTTCAGGCCCATATTTCAATACCATTTGGCCCATAGTCTACTTGAGGATTGCTGTTGCTGGGCCCTGACTATCGTATATGTCTGACTTAAGACTAGGCCATCTCATGACCTATATGGCCCATAGGCACTTCCAATTCAACACAAATACAACCAAGTACTCATTTTCCCTTATGTGCTTTATTGCAGACCTCCTCATACCCTCTGCCTCTGCCCTGATTTACAACATCCCCATCTATTCAGACGCCTATGTTGGAACACTTTCAGTCATTCCTCCCTCATAGTCTATGTTCCATCAGTCAACAAGTACATTAAATTCTATCTAAAAATCACCTTAATCCATTCCTTCCTCCTGTCCTCTCTACTCTAACCTAGGCCCTAATTTTGTCCCCTGAATGAGGACTGAATGGCTAGCCTTTTTAAAATAATGCATCTATTTTTATTTTTAAAATTTTTTTTAAAATGTTGATGGTACATAGTAGGTGTACACATTCATGGGGTGCATGGAATATTCTGATACAGGCTTGCAATGTGAAATAAGCACATCATGAAGAATGGGTTATCTATCCACTCAAGCATTTATCCATTGAATTGCAATCTAATTACACTCTTTAAGTTATTTTTAAATGTACAGTTAAGTTATTTTTAACTACAGTCACGCTGCCGTGCTGTCATATAGAAGGTCTTATTCATTTTTTCCAACTATTCTTTTATACACATTAATTATCCCCACCTCCCCTCCAGTCCCACAATACACAATACAGCCCCACAATATACCTCCCCACAATACCGCACAATACACAATACCTCCAGCCCCACAATACCAATGCCAGCCTCTGGTAACCATTCTTCTACTCTCTATGTCCACGAGTTTAATTGTTTTGATTTTTAGATCCTACAAATAAGAGAGAACATGTGAAGTTTGTTTTTCTGTGTCTGGCTTATTTCACTTAACATAATGATGTCCAGTTCCATCCATGTCATTGCAAATGACTGGATCTCATCCTTTTATGGCAGAATAGTACTCCATTGTGTACATGTACCACATTTTCTTTATCCATTCATCTGTTGATGGATACTTCGCTTGCTTTCAAATCTTAGCCATTGTAAACAGTGCTGTTTAAAGAGTTTATTGATAGGTAAAAACTCATTTCATTAATTGCTTTCTGTTTGTCTTTTCAGTGCTTTATCCTATTTTTCTCTTGTGCTTCATTTGTAAATTTATGTTTTGTTCCAATATGCTTTGGTTTCTTTCTCTTTTGTGTATCTTCTATAGATATTTTCTTTGCAGTTACGATTACAATTATGTAAAGCATCTTTTAGTTGTAAGTCTATTTTAAGATAGTAACAACTTCAACCACATGTAACTACACTTTTGTCCCCCACACTAATTTCATGTTATTTATGTCATACTTTACATCTTTCCATATTGTTTATTCATTAACATATGTTTTATAGTTATATTTATCCTTAACATTTTGTGTTTTAACTTTTATACTAGAATGAAAACTGTTTCACAACTAGACATAACAGTATTGCAGTATTCCATATTTGTCTATATGTTTACATTTATCATGAGTTATTACTTATACCAACTTTCATCTTGCATTTTTAAATTATTTTGTTTCCACTTGAAGAGCCCTCTTTAGCATTTTTTTGAGGTAGGGGTTATAAATTTCTTAGTTTTTGTTTGTTTTGGTAAGTATCTCTCATTTTTAAGGACTTTTTTTAGAGTATATAATTGTTCTGTCGTTTTTTAAATTTCAGCTATTTGCATATATCATCTCAGTCCTTTCTGGCTTCCAAAGCTTCTGCTGTGAAATCCACTAACAGTCTTATAATCATTCCCTTGTATATAATGGATCACTTTTCTCTTGCTATTTTCATATTTTTGCCTGCTTTTGACTTTTGAAAATTTGACTATAAAGTTTCTCAGTCTACACTGCTTTGTGTTCATTCTTTCTGGGATTCTTTGGGCTTCATGAGTCTTTATTGTCATTTCTATCTCCAGATTTGTAAATTTTTTGGCAATTATTTCTTTATATAAACTTTCTACCCCTTTCTCTCTCTCTTCTCCTCTGTAACTCCCATAATGCCTATGTTGGTTAACTTAATAGTATCCTGTACAATCAGAAGCGTTTCATGACCCTTTTAGATACTTTATTTTTAAAATTTTCCTCCTCCTAATAAATAACTTCAAGTGACCTACCTTCAACTTTGCTAATCCTTTGTTATGTTTGATTAAGTCTGCTGTTAAAGCTTTCTAGTGAGTTTTTTTGGTTCAGTTATTTTATTCTTTAGCTCCATAATTTGTTCAGTATTTTCATAGTTGCTATCTCTTTCTCAATATTCTGAATTTGTTGATTTATATTTTTTCTGATTTTATTTAGTTATCTGTGTTATCTTGTAATACACTGAGCCTCTTTAAGATGATTATTTTGAATTTATAATGAGACAATTCATAGATCTCCATTTTTTTAAGTCTGTTTTGGGAGACATATTTTGTACCTTTTACTGTGTTCTGTTTTTCCAATTCTCCATGTTTTTATAATTTTGCTTTTATGTCTGTCAAAGGCTTGAATAAACAGCCACTTCTTTCAGTCACTACAAACTGGTTTTAACAGGAAAGTCATTGACCAATTAGCCGTATGGAGATTCTGGAAGCATCTCAAACCTTTTCTACATATGTGTTAGCTCTGGAATTTTTTATGTAGATTTCTACTTAGATGAATTATTTAGTTTTCCTTTTGTCAGGAGCCTGTAATCTCCTTCTTCCTCTGGAGTCTGACTTATGTACTGTATTCTGGGATGTTGGAAGCACATGCCTCTCCTTTCCCCCCTTCTCTGTGGAGAAGCCTCAAGTTATTTCTCTTTTCCCACTCTTGCAGAGGCATAGTGGCTGCAGCAAGGTGCCCACCCCTTTTTCATTGCTCTTACCTGTTCCCACAAATTACGCCGGTTCCATCAGCACTCTGAGTGAGGCAAGGTAAAATCTAGCCCCTTACCACACTGGAAGTCTGATGCATTAAAGATATGTTCCACTCCTCTTTTTCTCTCCTGGGGGAGAAGCCTGAACTTCTGTGTCTTCTCTTAGTCTCAGGAATTTTGCTGGATGCAGCAATCCACCAGCTCAATTTTCTTTGTTCTTAACTGCTTCTAAGCATCCAAACTACGCCAATTCTGTCTGTGCTCTATGTGAGGCAAGCTATAAACTGAGCCATCTGACAGTGAACTAAAAGGCTGAGATGTTGTACCCATGACCAACACTCTCTTTTCCCCCACGGGAAATGTTGTGGGCTGAGGCAATGTCTCTAGGTGCTAAACTGTGCAGGGTTGTGAGAGGAGCTGGCTCTGGTAAAATGAAATTGTTATTTCTACCAATGTTTGTTCTCAGTTGTGGCTGATTTTAGTTATGTGCTCAACTAGAGTACTAAAACTTCTTAAACAGATTACTGAGTTATCACAAAAGCATTTTGGCCCATATATAATTGTGGGGCATCCTGCTCCTTCATCTTGCTCATCTCTGTGGATTTTATATATTTCTTCCAGGTATGCTTTCACTAGTTTATGTCTGCTATTTTGTCAAAATTCTAATGAAATCCAATACTTTACAAAATATTGACAATGCTCTGAATAACATCATTTGTCTATTAATTCAGGCATTTTATTTTTTAGGCCTCCTTGTACTTTCATTCTGATTAGTACAAGCACTCTGATATATTACAGACAATAAGTGAATAAAAGAACCTCTCGGTGTGCTAATTCATCCAGATAAGTATTTATAAAACTATACTTTCAATAGCCCTTTTCTATCACCTCACCATGCACTCACTTCCCAAGACAAGGTAATGATACACTTGAGGTTATGTGTTTATCCCTTCTGCTCATCTAGACAGTAGCATGTCTTGCTTCCTATTTTACTCAGTTCTCTCAAATGACTACTTCTCACAAAGAATTTCTCTGTACAAATCACAGAAATAGTTCCCATTCTGTTGGTGCTCTCTAGTTTCTAGTTTACTTTATTTTATCATATTTGTTCATTTGTTTATTACCTTCTCCAAATATTCTGTAAGCTCCAAAGTGTGAACACTTGCCTGTCTTATTTCCAGCCATATTTGGTAACATTGCCTGAAACAGAATCTGTCACTAGAAAGCATTCATCAGTATTTGTTGAACAAATGCTCTCATTTGCAATACAGTTTACAAAGAAATATAAAAATAAAAATGCATTTTAGGAAAACTACCCTACCCCCGTTGTTGAGTTTGATGAGTGGGAAACTGGAGCGAGTCTTTTTAATTTAAAGATCCAAAAAGTCTAGGGCTCTTTATTAGTTTTCCACAAAATGGGTGGATTAAACAACAAAATTTATTTTCTCACAATCTTGGATGCTACAGTCTGAGGTCAAGGTTCTGGCAAGATTCGTTCCTTCTGAAGATTGTGAGGAAGTTTCTAATCCATGATCCTCTTCTCTCTTCTGGTAATTGATTGGAAATATTTGGAATTCTATGGCATGTAAAAGTATCATCTTGATCTCTGACTTTATCTTCACATGATTTTCTACCTGTATGCAACTCTATCTCCAAACTTTTATGTATATAAAGATATTAGTCATATTGGATTAGGGAACATCCTGAATTCTCTCCATAATTTGTACTTTCAGTAGTTACTTCTGGTCACTGTTTTGGTTGTTGCTGTTGTTGTTAAGGCAGATCAGGTTATACCAGGTGACACAGCCACAGCTTCCTGCCGTCACATTCTTCTCCCTGGTCCTTTGCCTTTACCATAACCAGTTGACTCAGGACAATGTCAGTTCAGTATGCCTTCCCTCAATGAGCTCCCAATTTATTTACAGCAATTACATCCCCTTCTCCACTTACAAGCACTTTTTTTCCCTTTGATAAATTGAAAACTAGATTTTCCTCTGAAAAAAGTATGTTAGAAACCTTGGTTTTATAAGTTTGATAGTTCTCAGAGGGAAAAAAATGGCATCCTAAAGTAACTACATGTTGTGTACTATACATATATCAAGGGGTATTATTCTATTTGATTTCCATTTTCATCCCTTCTCTAATAATATTATATTTTACTTTGGGAAAATTTACCTGTTCTTTGTGAGGATAAAGCACACAAGTGTGGCAAAAGTATTTGTTGATGATTCATTTATGCTTCCTCAGATCAGTGCCCTACAAATTAGGGTCTAATTAGTGAACAAGTCTTCACTCACCTGATGGCCAATTTGGATGCACAATCCCTGAACTGCCCAAGTAATAAGAACAGTCTTAATGACTTGTTCCCTCATGGATGGCTCTTTTCCTCTAAGTCTGTGTCCCCAATCATCTTTATGATTGGCTTTTCTTAGAATCAACATACTTCATGAAGAAATGTTTCTTCTCTTGTCATTGATGCTGACTTCTTGTAGGAGTTTATAGAAACCTACACACTAAATCATCTGACAGGAGTAAGACTCTCTCTTTTTAGAGAGTCCTTTGTGAGTTTTGAGATTTAAAAATAAAGATTAGGACTGCCATAGTAATTAAAACTTCTGTAAAGGAGCAGATTGCCTATTTTTACCCAAATTATGGGGTCATTGAAAAGGTTTTACATTAGTTAGGATGTGAAATAAAATATGTCTTTATTTTAATTTGCTTTTTTTTGTTCTTGTTAAATAAAATGAGAAATGTCCTACAAGATATTCATGGCCATTGCATTTTTCTAAGGACGGGGTGTCTGTTACCAATATTTTCATGGCTGTAGAAATAAGCAAAGATAGTTTATAAAGAAAAGCATGTGAACTCTTCCATTAATATATTACTGTTATCATTCATACTGCCCTTGCACATAATTATCAATTTAACTGTTTATGTACATTTGACATAAATTTTAAACTTCTTTGGGAAAGAGGCAGCCTTTATCATGTGTTTTAATTTTGTTTAAGATACCTAGAAATGGATTTTTCACATAGTGGAGCTTTCATATATATGTATAGCATGTGCATACATGTATATATACTAAATATATCATATTTATATGTTATATATAGTATGCATTCATATAACTTATCTCACTATGTATATTTAATTAATATTTTCATATTTGGTGGAATTATTATTTTGAGCAGGTTTTATTATTTTTGCAAGAGAATGAAAACCAAAGAAAAATCATTTAGGATCATCAAGAAACTCATGCTAGACTTTTAAACATTAATGATGCTATGAATTCCTAAACTGTAGGTTACCTGAACACATGATTTAAAATGCCTCTATTAAAATGTTGTGATAAATACTTTGTGAGAGCAAGAAAGGTAATTCTAACTTACAGAGGAACGATTATTATCAGGAAAGTAGGTTGAAATAAGGACAAATAAGGTGATCTGATATAACTGACAATTTTTCCTGAGGCAAGATACAAACCCCTCCTATTACATATTTTGATGCCCTAAATAAACTTCATTTTCCTGTGAAAACAATTGGCTTTGATATAGAAAAGTGAAGGAGCAAACTTCAGAAGGCTCCCTCATGAATTTTGCAGGCAGGTCTCTTCAACTCAGTTGTTTGTTGGACTTGCCAATTCAAATAAGTGTGTGAGAAATAAAATCAGCTGTCCAGCAAGAGGCTGAAATTGTGGTTTAATCTTGATACAACATCAAGCATGATTGTGTTTTAATTCAGTGGAAATATTTCCACAGGGAAAGATAGAACTGTAAAACTTGTTTAGACATAAGATTTGGCTTCAAGACATGTTTCAAAAGGCTTTAGTTGGAACAAATCCCATTAGTCTCTGTGCTATGTCCTATGGAGAAACTGATTTGGCATGCTGTCTTTGAATTTACACATTTTCAATTGCTGCTGTAGACTAATCACACTCAGCTGTATTTACCTCATTTCTAGTTTATTCTTAAATCAACAACACATACAATATCAATCCACTACTTCTTATTGCACATCTTCCATGGGCCTCTTGGTGACACCAATATTCAAGACATTGTATTAGACACAATGAAGGCACTAGAGCTCATTTTCAATGCTTTCTGAAATGGGTACTTCTCATCACCATTTTTCTCCCTCCTTCTCATTTTATTGAGCTTTATCTATGCCAATACGGTCTCCTTGAGACCTAAAACTGCACTCCATAGTACATGTTCTGGCCCCTTCAGTACCAAAAGTGAATTATCTTTGTCTTATTTTTGCTCTTTTAGTAAAGGATCTGGAGAGTAGTGTAAAGAAACTAGGAAGAAGAACAAGAAGTCACATTTTTTAACTCTCCACAATTTGAAAATATGGATTATTAAACATAAAATGGTAATCACATTGATCTGCTTATATGAGAGACAGAGTGCAACAGAGGTAATTAATTTTAATTCTCATCTTCTTCCTTTTGGAATTCTGTTTTGGTTACCTTCCACATAGTATACTTTATTCCTCCATGTCATCATAAACTTTACACCCAAACTATCTAAACATACATCCCAGTAGGATTTTGAAACTTTTTCATGCTGAATTCATCTCAGCCTACCCTGTAGAATATATGTTCTCATTCCTCTAAAATGTGCTTATTCATTTTTAGGTGTTTCAAGAAATAAATTATATTGCTGCATAATGCAACATAATGATTTCATGCCTCATTGTGCTTTTTAGACTGATTGAACTTGTCTCCTATAAGAGAGGTTTTGAAAGTTAACAGCCTCAGACTCCAATTCCAATGAGTTCATATTATTTAGCAAATAAACATGCTGTGGCCTGAAAAACTGACAAGAAAAAACCTGAGTTGATTGGTGAAAATAAATAGCATTTAATTTATTTAAATTTTGTTCATCATTAAGAAATAAATTTTTTTAAATTTAAGACAACAGTTTTTAAGGGGGATAGTAAAACTAAAATTTCCTTAGAGATTTAAAAATGATATTGGTATATCTCATAATTTACCTGACTCATGTTTTCTAATGTGTAATGTAGTCATAGTATCTAAACCTTTAATTACTCCTCAGTAAACATGAAAACATAACTATAAAATAACTTTCAAAAAAATGGGAGTGAATATTTCCTCTGACAAGTTATGATGAGCTGGGTTTTATGGTAAAATGAGCAGAGCAAACTAAAGTTACTGTTATTTTATTTGTTAATGAAGATAAGCCTGCCTTTGATAAAAGTGAAGATTTTTTTAATGCAGTTGCAAAGAGTAATTGTTTATAATTGACATAATAGCCCACAGGTGGAGTAGAGGTAATTAAAATATTTAGATCATCTTGACACTTTTTCTACCTATTTATCTCCATAGTATCAATATTATGCCATATCTGTAGTGTTCTAACTTTTTAATATAAATCTAATGGTAGTGATATGGTTTTGATCTGTGTCCATGTCCAGATCTCATGTTGAAATGTAATTCCCAATGCTGGAGGTGGGACCTGGTGGGAGGTGATTGTATTATGGGGGCTGTTTCTCATGGTTTAACACCATTCCCACCTTGGTGCTGTCATCATGATAGTGAGTTCTCCTGAGATCAGGTTGTTTAAAAGTGTGTGGCACTGTCCCCATCTCTCTCTTCCTCTTGCTCTAACCATATAAAGGGCTCACCCCCCATTTACCTTCCACTATGATTGTAAATTTCCTGAGGCCTCCCCAGAAGCTGGGTAGATGTTAGCATCATGCTTCCTGAACTGCCTGTGGAACCATGAGCCAATTAAATCTATTTTTAAAATGAGTTACCCAGTTTCAGGTATTCCTTTATAGTAGCGTGAGAATGTACTAACACAG
Organism: Homo sapiens; assembly: GCF_000001405.40. Taxonomy (NCBI): domain Eukaryota; kingdom Metazoa; phylum Chordata; class Mammalia; order Primates; family Hominidae; genus Homo; species Homo sapiens. The sequence continues at coordinate 36,508,930 of NC_000023.11, read as the reverse complement.
AAAATTGGTACTGGGAGGGGAGCATTGCCATAAAGATACCTAAAAATATGGAATTGGCTTTGGAACTTGGTAATGGGCAGAGGCTGGAAGAGTATGGAGGAATCAGAAGATAAGAAGATGAGGGGAAGTTTGGAACTTCCTAGAAACTTAGTTGTGACCAAAATCCTGATATTGACATGGACAGTGAAGTTTAGTCTGAGGAGGTGTCAGATGGAAATGATAAACTTATTGGGAACTGGAGTAGGGTCACTTTTGCTATGCTTTAGTCAAGAGCCTGGCTGCATTATGCCCCTGTTCCAGGGATCTGTGGAACTTTGAACTTGAGAGTGATGACTTAAGGTATCTGGCAGAAGAAATTTCTAAGCAGTAAAGCATTCAAGAATTAACCTGTCTGCTTCTAAAAGCATATGCTTATATGCATGAGCAAAGAAATGACATAAAACTGTAGCTTATATTTAAAAGGGAAACAGCATAAAAATTTAGAAAATTTGCAGCCTGTCTATGTGGCAAAAAAAAGAGCCAAATTTCAGAGGAGGAATTCAAGAAGGCTGCAGAAATTTGCATAAGTAAAAAGGAGCCAAGTGTCAATAGGTAAGATAATGGGGAGAAGGACTCAAAGACATTTCAGAGACCTTTGCACCAGCCCCTCCCATCACAGGCCCAGAGGGCTAGGAGGACTGAATGATTTCCTGGGCCAGCCCCATGGCCCTGCAGCACTGCACAGCCTTGGTACACTGCTCCTTGCATCACACGTGCTCCAGCTCCAGCCATGACTAAAAGGGGCCCAGGTACAGCTCTGGCTGTTACTTCAGAGAATGCAAGCCATAACCTTGGTAGCTTCCATGTGTTGTAAAGCCTTTGGGTGTATAGATTGCAAGAGTTGAGGCTTGGGATCCTTTGCTTAGATTTCAGAGGATGTATGGAAAAGCCTGGATATCCAGGCAGAAGCTTGCTACAGGGGTGGAGCCCTCACAGAGAACCTCTACTAGGGCAGTGAAGAGGGAAAATTTCGGTTGGAACCCCTCTACGGAGTCCCTACTAGGGCACTGCCTAGTGAAGCTGTAAGAAGAGGGCCACTATCCTCCATACCCCAGAATAGTAGATCCATCAACAGCTTGCACTCTGCACCTGGAAAAGCCACAAACACTGAAACACCAGCCCATGAGAGCAGCTTCAAGGTCTGAACCCTGGAAAGCCATAGGAGCAGAGCTTCCCAAGGCTTGAGAGACCACCACTTGCATCAATGTGTCCTGGATGTATGACATGGAGTCAAAGGAGAATATTTTGAAACTTTAAGATTTAATGACTGATCAGCTAGATTTTGAATTTGCATAGTGCCTGCAGCCCCTTTCTTTTGGCTGATTTCTCCCTTTTGGAATAGGAGTATTTACCCAATGCCCATACCCTTTTGAACCTTGGAAGCAACTAACTTGTTTTTTGTTGTTGTTGTTTGTTTGTTTTTGTTTAAAAAATTCCAGGCTCATAGGTGGAAGGGACCAGCCTTTTCTCAGATGAGACTTTGGACTGTGGACTTCTTAGTTAATGCTGAAATGAGGTAAGATTTTGGGGGCCTGTTGGGAAGGAATGACACTATTTGGATATGTAAGAAGGAAATGAGATTTGATAGGTGCCAGGGGTGAAATGATATGGTTTGGATCTGTGTCTCTGCCCAAATCTTATGTTGAAATGTAATTTCTAGTGCTAGAGGTGAGGCCTGGTGGGAGATAATTGAATTATAGGAGCCGTTTCTCATGGTTTAACACCATCCTCCTTGGTGCTGTTGTCACAGTAATCAGTTCTTGTGAGATCTTGTTCTTTAAAATTATGTGGCACCTCCCCTCTCTCTCTCTTCCTCGTGCTTTGGCCATGGGAAGTGCTCACTCCCCATTTGCCTTCCTCCATGATTGTAAGTTTCCTGAGGCCTACCCAGAAGCCAAGCATATGCTATCATCATGCTTCCTATACAGCCTGTGGAATCATGAGCCAATTAAATCTTTTTCTTTATAAATTACCCTGTCTCAGGTATTCCTTTATAAGAATGCAAAAACAGACTAACACAGTAGAAAGCACTTGGATTTAATTTTTAGAATTAATAATTAATTTGATAATTTATTACAAGAAATATTTATTGAGTATCTACTATATGCCACTTTTGCTATTGGGGTAGAATTGTGAATAAGACTTTTACAAGCTGAGTCCTAACAGAGGTTACAACTAGGTGGTGCAATAGATTGTTCAGATTTACCTGTGTAGGAAAAAAAAGAAAAGAAACTATCTTGAAGAATCCGTGAGAAAAAGAAATAGTATGAAAAATGAATGGATAAGAATTACAATAAATTTTTCAGACATAAAAGGGAATTCATATCTGACTGTAAATACTCTTTAATTTTAAAACTGCCATTGGGTGGTTAGATTGCTTTCTAACCATTATAATACATATGTTTAAATAATGTTTGAGCACCAGATGTTTCAAAGCAATGTAAGATTGTTCAAGTGGAGTTTTGGAAATTTATTTTAAAAACACAGTATGTTATTGAATAATCCACACCCCCAACACTTATGGGCTCATAATATATTATAATTCACTGTTTCTCAGACAACTCTACCATAGCCTATTTTATTGTACTTTTAAAATAGTATAATAGGGAATATTGGAGACAGTAGAGCTGAAACCATTACGTTGTTTTTTGAAAACAGATTAAATGGTATTAGATCAAACCACGAGAAGGTGCCATTTGCGCAGGTCAAAATCATTCAAATATGTGCAATTTTATATGGCTCAGCCTAAAGAGTTTAGATTTTCTAAGACAATCTCAACATAGAGCCTACTTCTAGAAAAGCATAGTATACATTTTGCTTTTTTGTGAAGCACAACTGCTGATTATAAGAAAAGACGTGGGCAATTTCAGTGGCATTTACATTCATTTATAGCAATGTGACTTCTCTTAGGTTAGATTTTCCAAGGCCCTGAAATAATATATGTTGATGTTTGATTCATCTATAATTTTAAAATGTATTAGTATTATCGTTGTTAATTTCTATCCCCATGGGGTGACACATATCACTTATGATCTATAACTAGACTTGCACAGGAAGTTTGTTAAACGGAAATTTCTAGGCCATGTCTCAGTCATGTTAGAAGTGGTAATAAGGAATTACCATTTAAAAATATTACTGAGTTTATTAAATGCATAATTTTTGAGACCACGTTCTATGCTTTATGTGTATTCTCCTAGTATAAATTCGTAGAGATTCTATGTGGCTGATTTTACAACTGGTATTTTAAAAAGGAGGACCTAAATTAACCAAGACTGAAGAATTTACCAAGATCAGACGCCTGCAAAGTACAGACTGATTCCCAAATATGTAGTTTCTCCCTCACGTTCCAAACCCTTTGTAGACCTATTAGTTTTTATCTGTCTGGAAGATTTTGCTCATAAGTCTAAGTAAAATTACAGTAGCTTAGTTGTATTAAGGCTGAAAAAAATATCGGCTACCTGAAAAAACAGCTGTGTTCTACAAATAAAAAGATGCAGTTGGCAATTCTATATATGGGGCAAAAGTGCCATAGTAAAAAGTAATCCCAAAAAATATAAAAATAGCCATTTAGAGACTTTATCATGACATGTTAATTAAGCATCTGTTGATGATAGAAAGCCAATACTTCCTCTCTTTATAAAGGCTGAAGTTTAATTACATATAATTCATTAGACTTCAATTTATAAGCACGGTATGAAACACATCCCCTTCTGTAATTCAGAGGGTCGTTCTATTCATATTTTTTATTATTTCCCTTCCCCAGATGCCAGGGCACAGCTAACCACATTATCCATGCACCTAGGAAATACCATGGCATGTTTGACACTGTGATGCCAGCTGATACTCTGAGAAAAACAAGTCTTCTGCTTCAGTTACTGAGCTAGAAAAACCTTGTAGTTGTATTTTAATTGCACCTTAACTGTAGGCTCATTTTTCCCTCAGGATCATGAAAACCATCTTGGAAGAAAGTTCTTTTTTTCAACTTTTGTGAAAACATATGTCTTCACTGATGACACTTAGCTGCTACAGAGAAAAACCTCTAGCATCCAGAATGCTGAGAAATGAGCCACATGCCAAAAAATGATTTGCCAATGATGAAAACCCTCAGGAAAAATTTATGCTTGCTCTAAAGTAGTCCCATCAGATATTTTTAAACCATACCATGCAAACCTCATTTTATGAGTTTGGTAACAGGAAATGTGGTCTAACATTCTATGAGATTAAGAATACAGGTCAGGACAACTATAACATAGAAATTTACCATACAGAAGGGAAAGAGGAGACACCCCAAGAGAAAAATAGTTATCAGAAATAAAACTTTGAATTTTGAAGGTTTAAACTTTTATGACTAATATATATATAGACCACTCTGCTCGAAAATAGCAGAATGCAAATTTTTCCTTAGTAGGCATAGGACATTATCCAGGACAGACCATATGTTAGGACACAAAATTAACTTTAACAAATTTTAAAAGTATGAAATTATACAATACATGCTTTCTTATCACAATGAAATGAAACTAGAAATGAAGACCCAAAAGAAAATTGGAAAATTTGTAGATACATGAAAATTTAACAACACACTCTTAATCAGCCAATTGATTTTAAAAAGTAACAAGAGAAATTAGAAAATACTTTGAGGCAAATGAAAATAAAAACACAACATACAATAAAAATATGAGATGCAATGAAACCAGTGTTAAGAGGAAAAGATGTAGCTATAAACACATAATAGAAGAAAGGTCTCAAAACAATAACTAACCTTACACCCTAAAGAATTAGTAAAAACAAAGAAAGCGAAATCAAAAACTAGCATAACAAAAGAAATAATAAAGTTTAGAGCAGAGATAAATAGAGAATAGAAAAAACAATAGAGAAAATCAGTGAAATTAAAAATTGGTTATTTAATAACATCAATAAAATTAACAAACCTGTAGTTACATTGGCTAATGATTAAAAATTAGACTCCAGTTACCAAGATCAGACATAAAAGTGGGACTATAGCTATCAATATTACAGAAATATAAAGCATTATAAGACAATAATGTTAAGTTTTATGCAAAATGTTGGATAACTTAGATATAATGGACAAATTCTAAGAAGCACACAATCTACCAACACAAAATCATGAAGAAATTAAAAAAAAATTGAATAGAACTATTACTAGTAAAAAGATTAAAGCAGTAATCAAAACATCCAACCAAAAAATGTCATTAACCACAGGTCTGCACTGGTGAATTCTATCACTTCAAGAAAAATAAATAATTTTTTGCAAACACTTCGAAAAAATTGAAGAGGAGTGACATGGTTTGACTGTGTTCCTACCCAAATCTTAAATTATAGCACCCATCATTCCCACATGTCATGGGAGGGACCTGGTGGGAGGTAATTGAATCATGGGGCAATTCTTTCCCATGCTGTTCTTGTGATAGTGGCTAACTCTCAAGAAATATAATGGTTTTATAAAGGGGAGTTCCCCTGCACATGCTGTCTCTCTTGCCTAGTGCTATGTAAGATGTGACTTTCCTCTTTGTTCACCTTCTGCTATGATTGTGAAGCCTCCCTAGCCATGTGGAACTGTCAGTCAATTAAACTTCTTTCCTTTATAAATTATCCAGTCTCTGGTATGTCTTTATTAGCAACATGGGAGCAGACTAATACAGTAAATTGGTACTGGTAGAGTGGGGTGCTACTGTAAAGATACCTGAAAATGTGGAAGCAAGTTTGGAACTGGGTAACAGACAGAGGTTGGAACAGTTTGGAGGGCTCAGAATAAGACAGGGAGATGTGGGAAAGTTTGGGACGTCCTAAAGACTTGTTGAGTAGCTTTGACCAAAATGCTGATGGTGATTTAGATAATGAAATCCAGACTGAGGTAGTCTCAGATAGAGATGAGAAACTTGGGAACTGGAGTAAAGGTTACTCTTGTAATGCAAACAGACTGGCAGCATTTTGCCTCTGCCCTAGTGGTCTGGTGAACTTTGAACTTGAGAGAGATAATTTAGGGTATCTGGTAGAAGAAATTTATAAGCTGCCAAGCATTCAAGAGGAAGCACAGCATAAAAGTGTGGAAAATTTGCAGCCTGAGAATGCAATAAAAAATAAATCCACATTTTCTGGGGAGAAATTCAAGCCAGCTGCAGAAATTTGCGTAAGTAACCAGGAGCCAAATGTTAATTGCGAAGACAATGGGGAAATGTCTCCAGGGCATGTCAGAGGTCTTCACAACAGCCCCTTCCATCATAGGCCCACAGGCTTAGGGGGAATAAATGTTTTTGTGGGCCAGGCCCTGAGCCTTGCTGTTTTTTGCGGTCTCAGAACTTGGTGCCCTGTGTCTTAGCCATGGCAACAGGGGGCCAATGTAGAGCTCAGGCCATTGCTTCAGAGGGTGCTAGCCCCAAGCCTTGGTGGCTTCCAAAAGGTTTTGGGCCTGCGTGTGCACAGAAGTCAAGAACTGAGGTTTGGAAACTTCCACCTAGATTTCAGAGGATGTATGGAAACACCTGGATGTCCAGGCAGAAGTTTGCTGCAGGGGTGGAGCCTTCATGGAGAATCTTTTCTAGGGCAGTGTGGAAGGAAAATGTGGTGTTGGAGCCCCCACACAGAGTCCCCACTTGGGCACTGCTAGTGGAGCTGTGAGAGAGGGCCACCATCCTCCAGAACCCAGAATGGTAGCTCCACTGACAGCTTGCATTGTGCACCTGGAAGAGCCACAGACACTCAATACCAGCCTGCAAAATCAGCCAGGAGGGGGGCTGTACCCTGCAAAGCCACAGGGGCAGAGCAGACCAAGGCCATGGGAGCCCACCTCTTGCATCAATGTGACCTGGATGTGAGACATGGAGTAAAAGAAGATAATTTTGGAGCTATAAGATTTGACTTCTCCACTGGATTTCAGACTTGCATGGGGCCTGTAGCTCTTTTCTTTTGGCCAATTTCCCCCATTTGGAATGGATGTATTTACCCAATGCCTGTACCCCCATTGTATCTAGAAAGTAAGTAACTTTCTTTTGATTTTACAGGCTCAGAGGCAGAAGGAACTTGCCTTGTGTCAGATGAGACTTTGGACTATGGACTTTTGAGTTAATGCTGAAATGAGTTAAGACTTTGGGGGACTGTTGAGAAAGCATGATTGGTTTTGAAATGTATGGATCTCACATTTAGGAGGCGCCAGGGGCAGAATGAAATGGTTGGCTGTGTCCCCACCCACATTACATCTTGAACTGTAGTTCCCATAATTCTGAAATGTTGTGGGAGAGACCCGGTGGGAAGTAATTGAATCGGGGTTGGGGGGGGGCAGTCTTTTCCACGCTGTTCTCATGATAGTGAATAAGACTCAGATGATTTAATGTTTTACAAAGGGGAACTTTATCAAGATGTCAGCATTTTATGCAGGCCTTCTTGCTGTGTCATTTCATGATGGAGTGTGAAACGGTGAGAAACGGTGAAAGAGAGCAAGAGACAAACTTGTTTATATAACAAACACCACCCTTGCAATAATTACGTTAAGCCTTTCATGAGTCATTTCTTAAAGGTCACGCCTCTTAGCACTATTGCATTGCGAATTAAGTTTCCAAAACATGAACTTTGGAGGACACATTCAAAACATATCAGTACATATTCAAAATAATTTAAAACCAGGACTTGAATAGTTACTTGCATGGCAATGGTCATTGCAGCAATGTTCACAATAGCCAAAAGGTAGAAACAACCCCAGTGTCTATGTACAGATGAATGGATAAACAAAATGTGGGAAGATGACCAATTAGATGCAGCCAGGAAGTACTGCTCCCACTGAGAGAGACCAAAATGTCAAGTAAATCTACGTACTTTGAGCAGAACTTAAGAGAGAAAATATCAAGAGTCGATAAAGAAGTTAAATAAACACTTAGGGTGAAGAGGGAAGAGGCAGGGGATGGTGCACAGGACACCCACACGCTTGGCTAGTTCTCAGGCCTGAATAGCTCCTGGAGAATAGGTGAGTGAAGAGACAGAGTTTATTCTCACCATGAAGCTCTGGGATCCTAGCTACAAGGTACTTCATGTCCATCATGAACATTTGAACTGGCAGTGGAATCTCCCTAGAGAACGGGCGAGACAAGGCTTTAGCAGGCATGGAATGCAGGGGCTTTTGTGCAGGATACAGGTACCACAGAGTGTGGCTATACACTCAACCCCCAGGGCTTCCCATTTCCCTCTAAGTAGCTCTAGCCCCAGCTGACAGTTGAACAAGGAGAAAGCAGGGCTGGTTTCCACATGGGGACGGCACATATTTGTCCTGCAGACCCTTCTGCTTGCCAGTCCCTCTCACAAAAATAAGACACAAATCAAACATCTTTGAAATTAAAGAAAATAGGACCACAACATATCAAAATATCTGGGATGTAGCAAAAGTAGTGTTAAGAAGAAAGTTAATATAGCTAAATGCCTTTATGAAGAAGTTAGAAAGATTTCAAATTAACAATGAAACATGCGATTAGAGAAACTAGAAAAAGAGAACTAACCTCAAAGCTAGCAAAAGAATAGAAATAACTATAATTACCAAATAACTGAATGAAATTAAGATGTAAAGATCCAGTTCAATGAAAACAAGAGTTGGATATTTGAAAGAATAAACAAGATTGGTAAACCACTAGCTAGATGACAAAGAAACAAAGAGAAGATCCAAATAAGCACAATAAGAAATGACATAGATCAGCACTTTGGGAGGCTGAGGCAGGCAGATCACGAGGTCAGGAGTTGGAGACCAGCCTGGCCAGCTTGGTGAAACCTCATCTCTACTGAAAATACAAAGAAAAAAAAATTAGCCAGGCATGGTGGCACGCACCTGTAGTCCCAGCTACTCAGGAGGCCGAGGCAGGAGAATGGCTTGAACCTGGCAGGCAGAGGTTGCAGTGAGCCAAGATCATGCCACTGCACTCCAACCTTGGTGACAGAGCGAGACTCTGTCTCAAAAAAAAAAAAAATGACATAGATAACATCACAACTGACCCAAAAGAGACACAAAAGATCCCCAGAGAGTATTATGATCAACTCTATGCATACAAAATGAAAATCCAGAGAAAATAGATGAATTCCTGGAAAAATACAACCTCCTAATATTAAACCAAGTAGAAAATGAAAACTTGAACAGACCCATAATACATTCTGAAATTGAATCATTAATAAAAAAAACCTACCAGTCAAAAAAAAAAAAAAAGCCCTGGGCTAGATGGCCAGATGGATTCATAGCCAAATTCTATTTGATATACAAAGAACTGGCACCAATCACATTGAAACTATTCCCAAAAAACTGTATAAGGAGAGGCTTCTCCCTAACTCATTCTATCAAGGCAGCATCAGTCTGATAACAAAATTTGGCAAGAACATAACCATAAAGGAAAACTCAAAGCCTGAATATATTACAGGTCCCAGCTTGCTATTTCCACCTTTAAACCACTTCTCCTTTATACAATAGAAACATTAGCTCCTTTGAAGAGCTTTTCATCAGTCTAAAATAGTGTCTTCTGCACAACTACCACATGCTTGTGTTTTCCATATATATGGGTGTTTGTATATACATACACACCAATATCTGTATGCACATAATACAATTTTATCAATTTTCATGTTTGCAATTGACAAATGTTGATAAGAAAATATATGTACTAAAGAAGCATTTTAGAAGTACAGGTAGTCAGTGATGCTCTTTTCTATATATTAATACATATATATATAGTTTCATAATACTCATTTTTGTATTGAATATGTTTTCTCAAGAGAAATAACTTAAGCTAATGTCAGTATTGATAACATTTTTTTCCCAAAAAAACTACCGAACATTTTTATAATTTTACATAAAATTGTACTCCTCCTCCAAAAACACTCACATCCTAAATGTATAGTCTTCCCTTTGTTCCTTGTTTTTCTGGCTTTGTAAACACCCATAAGGCATGTGGTTCAAAACACTTGGACATAAGTTACTGGAAAGCTTCAGGATCCCTTTTCACTTTTGTTCATGATTTACTGAATAGGCCTCAAGCTCTTCTCCCTCTAAATATTATTTCACATATATGGAAACATTTTATTTAAAAAACTAGAAAAAAATCAGGGATAAAATAGAGGACTCTTTTATTGTTTTCAACTGAAGTGCCAAACTTCATAGCAAATTATGATTTATCTTAAACACATTCAAATTAACTTGTTGCACAGATTTGTGAAATTGCAAATTAATTTTATGTTTTTCTTTTAAAAATTTTATATACTTAGGGGGCAAAATGCAAATTTCTTATATGTATATGTTGCATAGTGGTGAACATATATATGCCGCATAGTCGTGAATTTTAGGATTTTTGTGTGACTATGATCCAAAAAGTGAATATTATACCCAGTAGGTAATTTTTCAACTTTTTAATTTCACTCTGTATGTTCATGTGTACCGATATTTTAGTCCTCACTTGTAAATGAGAACATATGGTATTCATGTTTGTGAGTTATTTCACTTAGGATAATGGCCTGCAGCTGCATCCATATCCATGTTGCTGCATAAGACATTATTTCATTCCTTTTTATGGATGAGTAGTATTTCATGGAGATATCTATCTATCTATCTATCTATCTATCTATAGATATATCACATTTTCTTTGTCCAGTTCTCTGTTGATAGACACTTAGGTTGACTCCGTATCTTTGCTATTGTGAATAGTGCTATGATAAACATACAAATGCAGGTATCTTTTTAATATATTTTTTGAGGGAGTAGATACACAGAATTAGGATTGCTGAATCAATGGTAGTTCCATTTTTAGTTCTTTGAGAAATTTCCACACTGTTTTCCAGAGCAGTTATACTAACTTACATTTCCATCAGTATAAACGGTGGTGTATAAACATCCCATTTTCTCTGCATCCTTGCCAACATCTGATCTTTTCATTGTTTTTGTTAGCCATTCTGATGGGTGTAAGATCTCACTGTGGTTTTGACTTGCATTTCTCTGATATTTAGAGATGTTGACTTTTTTTTATGTTTGTTGGCAACTTGTTTATTTCCTTTTGAAAAATGTCTGTTCATGTCATTTG